>NW_003315940.1:0-184319 GCF_000001405.40 Homo sapiens | reverse complement strand
TCATTAGAATCAAAAGGTAGGCTTTTTTAAGTGTTAAATGACAGGAACATCGTTGTTAAGGTTTGCTTCTAAAGCACGGATCCTTTCAAGGTGACCTAGGAAATCTGAGCAAGGTGGGTGAGGAGGAAATTATTTTATGTTAGAAATAGTTACTTCATTGTTACCTCTTTTGAGTTTTCTAGGTCTTTTAAAATCTGATCATTTAATGACAAGTCATATTTCACAGTCATTAAAAAAAGTTTCAGGTGGCCGTTTCCAATTGGAAAACTGGCTGGGCACTGTGGCTCATGCCTGTCATCCCAACATTTTGGGAGGCCGAGGTCGTTGGATCACTTGAGGTCAGGGGTTGGAGACCAGCCTGGTCAATATGGTGAAACCCCGTTTCTACTAAAAATACAAAAATTAGCCAGGCATGGTGGTGGGCACCTGTAATCCCAGCTACGCAGGGGGCTGAGGCAGGAGAATCACTTGAATCCAGGAGGTGGAGGTTGCAGTGAGTCGAGATCGTGCCACTGCACTCCAGCCTGGGAGACAGACGGAAATTCTATCTGAAAACAAAAACAAATTGGAATAATATCTAAAGTTATAAATTTGGCAACTTAACAACTATATCCTTTAAAGTAGAACCATGCAAAATTCATGTATCATGGCAGTCATAATCGTGTGAAAACAACATCCACATATTATGCAGGTGCATCACAAATGGACACGCCCTGTAATTTATTCCTTCTGAACCAAGTCCATCTGAGTTCATCCTGGGAAGACTGATGCCTGAATCTCTGATTAGGTTCATAAGTAAATAATCATCATATTCATTCATGCGTTTCTGCCACAAATATGCCCTAAATCAGGAAGGTACATAGCTATGATTCATGCCTTCAGTGATTTTAAGGGGAAAAAAAGGCACCTCTCTGTGAGTTACGAGTCTGAGCCAGGGTGAGGATAAAATGACATGAGCTAATCACAGTAGTGAAAGGTGACATTTTCCCATCAGACTGAATCATGATAACAAGACAATAACAAGATATGTGTGAGAACATTCCCCTGCCAGAGGACAACCCTGCAGCCTCATTTTGCAGCTAATGACATTTTTCATTTTAAAACCATTCCATTTTTCTTATAGATGTATTTGATTACGTGAAATACAATCACACAATCACTTTAGAATAATCAGAACATACAGATTATTTTTAAAAACTTAAAGAAAAATTAAACTCACTGTTATGGTTTGGATGTTTGTCCCCTCCAGATCTCATGTTGAACCTGCAACCCTGGGAATGGCATTTCAGCATGAGATTTGGAGGTGATTGAATCATGGATGCCCAAATCATGGATTTGAAGGTGACTGAATCATGGAGGCCCAATCCCTCATGAATAGTTTACCACCATCCCCTTGGTGATAAGTGAGTTTGCACTCCATTGGTTCACACGAGGTCTGGTTGTTTAAAAGTCTGGGACATCCCCACCCCTCACTCTCGTTTCTGCTCTTACCATACAACGTGCCTGCTCCTGCTTCACCTTCCACCATGATCGTAAGCTTCCTGATGCCTCCCCAGAAGCTGAACAGATGTTGGCGCCGTGCTTGTACAGCCTGAAGAACCATGAGCCAATTAAACCTCTTTGCTTTATAAATAATTACCCAGCCTTAGGCATTCCCTCACAGCAACACAAGAGCAGCCTAATACAGTCACCCATATCCCCTACCATCAAGAGACAAAAACAGTTTACATTTCAGTAACATTTCTCAAATAAATATAAACCTAAAAATGCAGAGTTATATAGTATTTTCTCCAACAACAGCAATGCCTTTAGTTTCTAGGAAATGTGAAATTTCAAGGAATATTTGCCAGATACAAGTATGCAAAATTTCAAAAATGTAAAATTAATTTCAAAGAATATTTGCCAGATACAGAAAGGTAAAATTTCAGCCTAACTATAGCATGCAAAAGCAATGAGTCACACAAGCTTTCTCTGATTCACTCCTGATGGAGTTTAAGGCATTGTTCTGTATTTTACAAAAATGTAAAATTAATTTCAAAGAACATTTGCCAGGTACAGAAATGTAGAATTTCAGCCCAACTATAACATGCAAAAGTAATGAGTCAGACAAGATTTCTCTGATTCACTCCTGATGGAGTTTAAGGCATTGTTCTGTATTTTACAAAAATGTAAAATTAATTTCAAAGAACATTTGCCAGGTACAGAAATGTAGAATTTCAGCCCAACTATAACATGCAAAAGTAATGAGTCAGACAAGATTTCTCTGATTCACTCCTGATGGAGTTTAAGGCATTGTTCTGTATTATAGACTTGCCTCTGTAGCCACCTGTTAATACCTTTTGTGCCTGCACTCTGCCATGTCCCAGTGAAAGCATTAGTCAGCATATAGCTGTTTCTGGCGCTCTTTCTCTCTAATATAGCCTTAGAAGCCACTTTAAAATTTTCTACGGGCCAAACCTTTATCTTCTAAATCTGACTCTTCCATTGAGACCAGTAATCCATTAGTCCATGGAGTCTGCATTGCTTTCAATCTGGACACTGCATTGTTATTTAGGATTCAATGCCTCCTGACTCCTACAGATGGCATTTTTTTTTTTTTTTTTTTTTGAGATGGAGTCTCGCTCTGTCACCCAGGCTGGAGTGCAGTAGTGTGATCTCAGCTCACTGCAACCTCTGCCTCCCAGGTTCAAGTGATTCTCCTGCCTCAGCCTTCCGAGTAGCTGGGATTACAGGTGCCTGCCACCACACCCAGCTAATTTTTTGTATTTTTATTAGAGACGGAGTTTCACCATGTAAGCCAGGATGGTCTTGATCCCCTGACCTTGTGATATGCCTGCCTCAGTCTCCCAAAGTTCTGGGATTACAGGCATGAGCCACCACGCCCCGCCCAGATGGCTAATTTAAGATGACCTTATGCTGACTAAACAAAAGGTGGGCCAGGCAGGCTGGATTGAGAGTAAAATGTTTAATAACTAAGGATATAAAGCAACCTTTCCCCCCAAAGTAATTGTCTTGTGGAAATTTTTTAAATCAACAAAATAATGGTATTTGCAGCAACCTGGATGGAGTTGGAGACCATTATTCTAAGTGAAGTAACTCAGGAATGGAAGACCAAATATTGTGTGTTCTCACTCTTAAGTAGCATCTAAGCTATGAGGATGCAAAGGTGTAAGAATGATACAATGGACTTTGGGAACTTGGGGAAAGGGTGGGGGGAGGTGAGAGATAAAGGACTACACATTCTAGCCAGTGTTCACTGCTCAGGTGATGGGTGTACCAAAATCTCAGCAATCACCACTAAAGAACTTATCCATGTAACCAAACACCACCTGTTCCCCAAAAACTATTGAAATAAAAATTATGATAATGTTTTTGAAAAGACAAGTTTAAATCTCTCACTCACCCTTTCTCTCCCACTCCCTCCTCTCTCTCTATTTCTGGAGGGATGGGAATCAAATAAGCAGTTGGCTGCAGTTTATATTAATTAAATGTTTGGTTTATTGTAAAAGTTTTTAATCTTTATTTTTAAATCATGATAACTTATAAACAAACTTGTCGATATTTGAGTAGTCATAGTTTGACTTTTCCATGTCCATATTCTCTTATGCTTTTTATGTAAAACATTAAAATTAGAAATGTAAAAGTCTACCAAGAGGGTAAAGAGCAGAAAAAATCTTTTTTATTAACAGAATATATATCTAAGTAGAGAACTTGTGGAAATTATGCACATGGACAAATTCCAATTTCACACTGTAGGCTTCCGTAATTTTATTTTTCAGGACATGAGTTATCAGAATTCTTTCTCCTGAAAGAAAGTGGAGATCAAAGGTAAAACTTCTAGAGAATGAGATGAAGGCAGATGAAAGAAGTTAACAAGACATTACATGACTTGATAATATTGCATGTATGCAAAAACCTTATGAAATCAACTGTGTTCTAGCGACCACTTGTTTTTCTTTTTGTCATAATACTTTTTATTCTCTTGCAATGATATTGATTCATCTGCACCTGACATCAACTCTGCATTTGTAGAAGGTGATAAGAATACAGGGAAATGGAATAAGTGGCTTTGCCTGCAATCCCGCAGCAGCAGAAATGTCCATTTCCTCTCTCCTGAATAATACTACATTCTCCACTGGGTTCCACAAGTTTCGAGGTAAAAGCATGAACATACACGAAGTCACCATCACTACCCTCACCACCACCACCATTATTTCCACCATATTCACCCTTTTAATACGCAAACTTCCTCCAAGGCTTCCTGAAGTCACCCAGAAATGCATTTCCCCAAGAGTGAGTTGTGCTAACATTGTATCCTATGGAACTCTGGGAAGCTACCCAGATCCTCAACTCTTGGAGTCTTGCTGACTGCATGTTCCAGGCTCCACATTTAAGCTCCAGTGACTGCTGATGACTGCATGACCTAACACATGTCCTCAATCCTTTCTTGGCCTCAGTTTCTTCACCAGTGAATTCTGAATGCTGGAATTGGCAATATTTCAGGTTCTTTCCAACTGGAAATACCCATGCTAATAATTTTAGTAAGTCAATAGCCATAGAAACCTACTGACAAAATGAGTATTTTAACAGAGACAGTTGTACTTTCTTAATTTTTAGCAGAAGGGAATGCATATGTATAATATCTATGTTGCCTTCTATGTGTAAAAATAAATACACAGACACAGATGTCTTGTTTTTTGTAAGTTCAGAGACCATTATTCATTCAGTCGTTCATTCCACAAATATTTATTGTGTATGTCAGTCAGGTTCTCCTGCATAATAGACTGTTTGCAAACAAAGTAGCTTTAAATAGAATTATTTGATTGCTCACAATTTTGTAGGTTGGGAATTTGGTCTAGCTTCAGCTGAGATGGGTTCACTCACGTGTTTACAGTAACTGGGGGTTCAGCAGTGTAGTTATGTGTCAGGCAGTGGGTGCCGGCTCTGGGCAGAGGTGATAGGGGATCACAGGGCATGTGTCCTTCACCCAACAGGCTAGCTGAAGCCTGTTCAGGGGTGACCATTACAGGCTTCCCAAGAGCAGCAAGAGAGGACAGGCTTCAAAAAGGAAGCACTTTTTTAACCCCATTTAAGTGATATTTACTAAATTACTATTGATTAAAGCAATTCCCCGTTCCAACTTCAGATTGGAGATGTGAAAGAATAGATTTCCTCTTTGGTTAGAAGGAAGGGGAAAATCATTTGCAAAGGAGTGTGACTAAGTGAGGGTAAAATTTTGTGGCCACTTTTGAAGCCTAACTCCATGGGTTTCTACTCTATGCCCAGCAATGGGTGATTTGATAACAAAGCATCCCGCCCCAACAAAACAAAGTAACAGCAGACTGGACCAGTTTTTGTTGTTGGTGGTAGTGGTTTTTTGTTTGTTTGTTTGTTTTTGTTTATTTTTTTGCTGTTGGTGCTTTGGTTTTACATTTCATTGTAATAGAAACTTTTTTAACAGTGGTTTTAGGCTCACAGCAAAATTTAGATGAAGGTACAGAGATTTCTTTAATACTCCCTGCCCCCACACATGCACAGCCTCCCCCACTATCAACATCCACACCAGGGTGGTACGCTTGTTACAATGAATGAACCTGTAGTAAGAGATCACTGTCACCCAAAGTCCACAGTTTATATATTAGGGTTCACTCTTGGTGTTGTACATTCTAGGTTGGGACAAATGTAGAGTGCCATGTCTATAGCATGATAGTGCCACACATTATGGTTTCACTGGCCTAAACACCCTCTGTGCTCTCCCAACCAAGTCGATCACTTTTTAGGGTAAGAATGGTCAAGGCGGGGATCTCTAAGGAAGAAACACTTAAGCTGAGACTAGAAAGATGAATAGGGGTTAGCCAGGTGAAAGAAGTTAGACAGGACAGAGGATTGAAGGGTTCTCCAAGCAAAGAGAAGGGCATGTTGCGGGGTATGGGTTAGGTAAAAGCCTGATGTGTTTAAGGAAGAGGAGAAAGGCCAGTGTGGTGGGTGAGGGATGAGGGGCAGAAGGTGGGCATGTGGCTGGAAAGGTGGGCAGGGCTGGTGCACAGAGTGAAGGTGATGGAGACCACTAAAAGATTTTAAGCTGGGAGCTTCAGGGTCTGCGTGGTTCTTTCTAAGAGGCCTCTGGAATGAATAGGAAGGGACAAAAGTCAGAGCAGATAGACTGGCCCACTTTCAGATGCTGTTCTTTCCCTTCTTGCTCATGTTCCTCCATGGTTGACCCTCCAGAACATCAGCTATGTTGAGTCCTCCACCTCCTATGAGCAGCAGGCATGGAACACAGACTCCGTGACCCTCAAGAGGCCTAGAGGGAAGTGGCTCTGATGTGACCTGCCCAGGTGAGTGGTGCTCGAGGCAGGGCATTCCACTCTCAGAGGCAACAGAGGCAGATCTGCTTCTTCTGGGGCCTCTGCAGGGTTAGGGGCTGACAGAGTGGGAGCATCGCCATCTTGGACAAGCCCCTCATTCTAAAGTTCACCTTAATAAAAAAACACCTAAATCCAAAAGGCATCAGCCTAATGGCTACGGTCAGCATGACCATAAACCACAAATAACATCTCTGACCAGAAACATTCCAAATGCCCCCCGCAAACAAAGACATGCTAGCCCCAAGATAAGTCCTCTCTGACCAGGAAGATGCCAGCCCCAAAATAAGCCCCCTCCTGCCAGAAAGATGTCTGCCCTAGACAAACTCGCCTCCTCCCAGAGACATTTCAACTCTGCCATAAAACTTCTCCCTTGCACAGGAACATTCCAAGCTTGTAATAAGCCCCTCATCCTAAAACCAATATGTAGTCTGTAAGACAAAGCACTCCTGACTGAAATCAGCCAGAGGCCCCTCTCAGGTTTTATCTAAAGTAAACCTGTCTTTAACTGCCAGGCCGCGTTTCATGTTAATTTCATTTTTCTTTAACTCTTACAGGGGCTTCCTCTGCCTTAAAGACAGGTGGAGATGGGGGACCCTGGGCTTTCAGGAAGCAGTTTAACTGCTCTAAACAGGCTTCAATTGTAATGCCCAGGAGATTTCCTTCATTTTGTGGCAAAGGAGGTAGTAGAATCTCAACACTAAATCCTCGAAGATATATATTACTTTGCAGGGGTAGCAAACAGCATGCCCAGGTTTTAAAGAACAAAAGTATTCATTTTTGTTGCTATTGTTTGTTTTCTTTAAGAAAAATGGGAAACTCTATGCACGTACAGTGACACAAACATAAACATAAGGTTCGTGTTTCCAGGACTCTAAGCACAGTGGTCTGGCCAGCTTGAAGTCACCCCAGCACTTAGCCCCATGTGTGAATCGCAGACCTAAAGGGTGCTGCCCCCCCTGCACCACCATCCCAGCCTCACCCCATCTCCCTTCTACACCCAAGCACAAATCCATGAGAACATGGGCATGTGGCCAGAGATGCAGTCCTTATCATCTTCAGCCAACAGGACTCTGAAAAGCATCTTAAATTAAGTGATTTATTAATACACCAAATAAGTAAAGGACCTGAAAGAAGCTTCTAATTAGAATGGTAAAATAATGTATTATCCACATTAGGGCATTTCTAAGAGTGACAGGAGAATGCTATAATTAGCGGGCACAATAGGCATAAACAGAGCCTGCATCACATGTGGGTGATAGATGAACAATTCAGTTACCTAGTGACAGATATTTTTGTTTACAAGAATGATTTCATGCTCATTTAAATGGTGCTATATTGCACTGGATATTGCCTCTAATTTTCAAAATCATTTTTCTTAATTTAGAGACATAAGTATTAATAATATGGAAAAAACAAATGTTGCATTGATAATGAAAATAAAAAGTAATACAAATCACATAGAAGCATGAAATTATTTGCAGAAAATAAATTTTTCCCCACGAAGTAGCTTTTCTGGCCATTTAAGAAAGCAGAGTTGACAGGAAAGTCACATGGGAGCCAGGGCTTAGAACGTTTGCAGCTGCTTCTTTTGTTCTGTGATGCATCATCTTTCATGTTTGACTTCCTCCTTGCTTGCAATTTCACAGTTTGAAAAAAGCTTTTTCAATAACTGGGATGAGTTGTACTTAGCTGGTTTCCTAAATTACATCATTTTTGAATGGGGGAGTATGGCCTAGTGGTAGCCACTCTGAGAGTGTGTGAAAATGACTGGGTAAGGAGGGGGAGTTCTTACACAATGAAACCCTATTAATTCATTTCCAAACTCTCTGCATTCTACTGGACCACGTCTTGGAGATCTGTCTCTCAACTCTGCCCAAGCAATCATGACACAACTATCCAGAAACAAAGGGTCATTATTTACCCAGATTTGTAATCCAAACTTTTTTTTTTTTCTTTGAGACAGAGTCTCGCTCTTCGCCAAGGCTGGAGTGCAGTGGCTCGAAATCGGCTCACTGCAAGCTCCGCCTCCTGGGTTCACACCATTCTCCTGCCTCAGCCTCCTGAGTAGCTGGGACTACAGGCAGGCACCCACAACCACGCCTGGCTATTTTTTTTTTTTTTTTTTGTATTTTTAGTAGAGACGGGGTTTCACCATGTTAGCCAGGATGGTCTCGATCTCCTGACTTCGTGATCCCTCTGCCTCGGCCCCCAAAGTGCTGGAATTACAGGCGTGAGCCACTGCACCCGGCCTGTAAATCAAACCTTTAAGCACAATGATTCACTTTATTCCAATAATCACTGGTCTTGATTTGCATTTCCCTAAGGACTAAAGATATTGAACGTTATTCTGTGCTCATTGGCCATTTTGTTTGGAGAAACATCTGTTCAAGTCTTTTGCCCACTTTTTAATTGTGTTATTTGTCTTGTTGAGTAGTAACAATTTTTTGTTTGCCTTAAAATATATTTTTATGCTAAGATACAGAACCCAGACACCAAATGTCACAATATTTATGGTTCTATTTATATGAAACATCCAGAATAGGTAGATCTGTGGAGAAAAAAAGGCAGATTCCTAATTATCAGGGGCCATGGGGAGAGGTCATTAGGGAGTAGCTGCTTGTTGGAGAATGGCTATTATCAGGGTTTCCTTTTGGATGATGAATTTTTTTTTTTTTTGAGACAGAGTCTTGCTCTGTCATCCAGCCTGAAATGCAGTGGCATGATCTCAGCTCACTGCAACCTTTGCCTCCCAGGTTCAAGCAAGTCTTCTGCCTCAGCCTCCCAAGTATCTGAGATTACAGGTGCACATCACCACGCACAGCTAATTTTTGCATTTTTAGTAGAGACGGGGTTTCACCATTTTGGCCAGGCTGGTCTCAAACTCCTGACCTCAGGTGATTCACTCACCTCGGCCTCCCAAATTGCTGGGATTACAGGCGTGAGCCACCATGTCCAGCTGGGTGATAAAAATATTTTGGAACTAGATAGAGGTGGTAATTTTACAACACTGTGAATTTAGCAATTAAAAAAATTATTGACCCTGGATAATGTTGAATTAATGAGATGGAGATATTCCAAATAAAAGAATATCTGCAAGTATCACATATTAATGTTAAAAAATAAAATAATAATAATGTGTTGACCATGTATCTCTTGACCTGTGTCACTGTGTTTGCCATTACTATATGGTTGTGATGGGGATGGCCAGTGCCCTCCCTAAGTTAGTTGTAAAATCGTGAGGGATTTACGTTTCCCTGATTTCTTTGGTATCTGCATTTCAGATGTCATGTCTCTCCCATATCACATATCTAAAGGCCCAGGTTGTCCTCTTACCTTTGTTCTGCCCAAGATGAGAACCCAGGACCATGCGTATCCTAGTGGGATCCTACTCCAGTTGACATCAGTGGGGTAACACATCCTTTGTTGGTTCTCTTTCCTGTATCACTTTCCCACTTCTCCACTAGTGCTTTCTGGATTATCTTCCACATAAACCCTGAGAACTTGAAACCTTGTCTCGGGATCTATTTCTGAGTGACATCAAACTGAAACAAAATTCATCTCACACCTGGTGAAGTGGAGAGGTGCATCTTCCCACCACAA
The DNA here is from genome assembly GCF_000001405.40 of Homo sapiens. NCBI lineage: Eukaryota > Metazoa > Chordata > Mammalia > Primates > Hominidae > Homo > Homo sapiens. Next base: position 174,351 of record NW_003315940.1, on the reverse strand, counting down.
TCTCATACTGGAGGGGAAATTACAGGACAGAGAAAATGCTCTTGAAATTAATGCCTTTTTAATGTCCAATTTTCAGGGCTCTTCCATTTCAATCCTTTGATACCCTCAAGATTTACTGCATTACCAGTGGTCAGCACCTCACTTTGGAAAGGGGGAGTACTTGCCATCCATCGTTTTCTGAGTCCTGAAAGAATCCGCACATAATATCTTGTTATAGATATCAAGAATAGTATAGCAAATGGTGGTGCACATAAGGTATAATTTGGAAATAAAACATTACGAATACTGCTCATGCCTCCTGGGCGCACTTCTCTAATTTTCTCCTCCTTTGCTTTCCTCTAATGCAACCATTGCCCTAAATTTTGTTTTAATCATCCTCAGGGCCTCCTTTAATAAGGAGTTTATTTGGCAAAAGAGCGTGAAGACATCATCTACAATACCATCTGTGATAATTCATAAAGTAGAGATTTCACATTTAGACTCACAGTTATCAGATCTAATGAGTACTAATGTTTCCAGTAGATACAATCTATTTCATTGTGTTTTACGTTACTAGGTCTAATACATCATTTGCCAATAAGAGCACTGAAAACTTAAGACTTTAAAAGAAAGTTCCATATTAAATCTGTCAGATATTTACTCTAACATAGAACTCCAGCGTCCACTTTTGTATTGCCTCCTTGCAAATAATTTGTTTTTCATAATTAATGTTTACTTAAAATATGACAAGGTGCTTGTTTCTGTCCATGGAAAGGTTCACTTGAATACAAAGCAAATATTATTTTATATAATTCTAGGTTGTGATCATGCTAATTTATTGCATTATTTTCTAGTAAAATATTATTATTGGCAGCACATTTCATAGGGGAAAAGAACTAAAGATATTTTATGGCGGCAGTCAGTGTTTAGAGAAGTAATTGAAATGTGTAATGAAGTCAAAGAAAGCTACAAGGATAATTCACAATCCTTCATTCAGCAAAAATATCAGCTTATGTTCAGTGGTGGTTATTGGCATGTAACTTGCAAAAAATAATGTTTCGGGAGAAATCATACACTTATTTTGTAAATACAGGCAGGTAAATTGGAAGCTCTGTGATATATCTAAGTTCATACTTTTTGGGTGTGCCTTGAAAACAAATGGAATGCATTGACTTCTATTCTTTCTTCCTAACTCAGCCAGGAGTCTGCGTGGTAAGGGATCACATGGGGATATGTCTCATGCTGGAGAAGGTGGCACCTTTCATTCTATGTACGGACATTGAACATCTTCGAAGGGAAGTGGAAACATCTTCAAAGTACCTACGTATCAAAGAAAAAGCATTTACTTAAACCTCAGAGAAAGTAGCAAACACTTCATTTAGAAAATACCTGACACTAAAACTAATATTCCACCTTAGAAGATAGAACATTTGCCTTCTAATATTTTGTTTAGAGAAACACTGAACAGGAACTGAGATCTATAGAGTTTCAGGAGAAATTGCTTTAACGCTTCAATCGCTACATCAAACAGTGTTTCATGTTCAGAAGCTAAGATATACACTCTGACCAATTAATGTTTTAAACCTGAAAAACACCATCCTTTTAAAAACACATAAAAACAATATCACCATTCAGCAGTCAATTTTTGAACTATGTGTCAAACCTGCTGTGGGCAATATTTTATTTATTTTGAAATAGCATCCAAATAGGAGGCACAGCCCCATCTCTGATTAAAATGGAGCGCACTAAATGTTTTGATTCCTGAAGTGAAAGATATTAAAGGGCTCAATGGAATAACTGTGTGGCTGAGACCAGCACTATCTGTCAAGTCTGAGGGTTATCTTGAGCTGTGTCCCTGGGCGGGTGTCTGCCGGCCATCTCTGAGCCACAGGGCTGGGCAGCTCCACCTCCACCTGCCACTTGGATTGTGGGATCTTCAGGACACTGCTGCTGAACTGGGGATATGGGTGTGGCCACTCTGCCTGCCCAGTGACCTCTCCCTGTCGGCTGCTGCTCGATGACCTGTGCAGGCAGAGGGCCCCTTTCTTCCCCAGCATCCTCTCTACCTGATGGAGGGGTTGGGGTTCCTTCATCTCATGATGGAGAAGAAAAGTTTTGCTCAAGGGAAGATGAGGCTGCTGGGGATCTGGGCTTCTGTGCATGGACTCTCCTGTGCTTGTAGGTGGTTACACATCTGCAATTATATTTGGACGAACAAATGCTGAACATGTCCAGTTTCACTGCACTTCCCCAGCACCAACGTCCCCATCATTTACATGCAATTTCCGTCCCAGCATCAGCAGCTTACTCATGGATCAGGCCATCAGAGGTGGGTGAAGGCCCAGATGATTCTATTTCTTGACCTGATAAGCTGGGTTTTTTTTTAATGGCGAAATGCTAATATAGGATTACAGAAACTGTCGTGTATTTCAAATGCTTACAATCTCTAAATTAATACTTTAAATAGATGAATGTATGTGTACGTACTTGTGCTAGCAACATGTAATTATACCCCTTAAGACACAGTGACTCGCAGTGCACTGCAGATTTTGTTGCCAGGTCCTATGTGTGTGTTTTAAGGTTGGTTTATGGCTGCCAGCTGTCTTTTTTCCATCCTTCTGGGGACACGGTCTCCCTGGCAGATAATGCTGTGAGTCGTCTTCAAGATCCTTCTTGAATGACAGACGCCACTTCAAGTGGCCCTCCTGGCGCCTACCCACAGTTTCTGCTCTGGGGAATGGACTGTTCTAATTCTCTCTACCCTGGTGAGGAGCACAGCTTCAGAGTCAGAGGGAACTGGATTTCATTCTGGCAGCTGCTGCATACTAGTTGTACGACCTCAGACAAATCAACTTTTCTTTTTTTCTCATTTGTAAAATAGGTATAACAATAACCTAGGCTTCTGTGCATGAACTCTTCTGTGTTTGTAGCTGTTTATACATCCAGGCATACATCGCATTTATTCAGTCCAATAACTATTAAAATAGATGTATAATAACTACATCTATTTTTAATAGTAATAATTAATAATTATTGCTGGACGGAATAATTGCTGGATGGAATAAATTAGATAATGCATATTAAACAATTAGCACAATACCTGGTACTTAATTGTTCCTCAATTATTATTATATTATTAAAAATTAGCACGTTAATAATATTCAAATAATAATATTTCTAATTGCTCTATTATTCTAAGTACATGTTATAAGTATTTTACATTTATATACTATATATTTGCAAGTGTTCATTTATATATACACACATTATGTATTTATAAAATATATATATATATATAAACATACAAATGTACTACGACTTTCTGAAGATCAAGAACTAATCTACCAAAATTCTCAGTAGAGTACTATGCATGAAGTTAGAGTTTGGAGAGTATTTGTATCAAGGACTTGGTTAATTTAAGAAAAGAACATGGATACTCTTTTTCTAAAGTATAAATCCTGCTTTAAAAATAATTAGTTGGTTCAATACAATAAAGATGATATCTATATATTTTCAGCATATTCTCACTTCAAATTAAAGGTAAAGATTCATTATAATCAACTGAAGGATAAAAATAAATATTAGGCCAGGCTTGGTGGCTCACGCCTGTAATCCCAGCACTTTGGGAGGCTGAGGCAGGTGAATTGTTTGAAGTCAGAAGTTTAAGACCAGCCTGGCCAACATGGCAAAACCCTGTCTCTACTAAAAATACAAAAATTAGCTAGGCAAGATGGCTCATGCCTGTAATTCCAGATACTCAGGAGGCTGAGGCGGGAAAATCACTTGAACCCAGGAGGCGGAGGTTGCAGTGAGCTGAGATTGTGCCACTGCACTCCAGCCCGGGTGACAGAGGAAGACTTCATCTAAAAATAAAAATAAAATCAATTATGAAAATATAATGCCAGAAGGCTTTTCTTTTTCTTTTTGTAGGGATCTGAAGCCAATTCGTCAAACTACAAATTTGGCAAATTTAATGTTTTTCTCTGCCCATTGATATGTGTTTTAATATCTCAAAATGTGTAAAGCTAATGTAATGATTACTGATTTGAACCAGGACTGAGTTTGCAGCAGTTCATCTCCAATCTCACACGCAATCATGACATGGCCTGCTTAAAACATTGTCCTTTCTGATAACCTCATGCCCTGTAATTTAGTTGTGGGCCATTCACGGTCATCATAACTGGGCAGCTTTTTGTTTAGAGTTCCAAGATTGAGACAGGAAAAAATAGGACAGATGATGTGCAGAGAGCTGTGTGTTTTCCCATGAATTATCACAGATCAATGAGATAGGGTGTATTTGCCAATGCAAAGGGCTCTGATCTTTTGGAAGCCGTGGCCCAGTTGATGACATAAATGTTGCTGATTCATTCCTCAGTATGTTCACATACCGAGGATGTCAAAATATGTCCATTCTGACGATGTCCCAAGGCCAGTAATAAAGCAAGAGTGGCCAAGGAGCAGCCATCTCTTCCTGGCAGGATCCTCAGGACCACCTGGCCAGGACCTGCCAAGAGAGGATGAGCGAGTTCTTAGTGTTACTGGAAAGGGGTCTGGATCCAGACCCCAAGAGAGGCTTCCTGGATCTCAAGCAAGAAATAATTCAGGTCAAGTTCATAAAGTGAAAGCAAGTTTATTAAGAAAGTAAAGGAATAAAAGGATGGCTATTCCACAGACCCTGCAGCAACACAGCAGCCCCAAGGGCTGCTGGTTGCCCATTTTTATGGTTATTTATTGATAATTTGCTAAACAAGTGTTGGATTATTCATGCCTCCCCTTTTTAGACTACATAGGGTGACTTCCTGAAGACAATCTGTGTGTGTGTCTCTCTCTCCCTCTGATATGGTTTGGCTGTGTCCCCACCCGAATCTCACCTCGAATTATAGCTCCCATAATTCCCACATGTTGTAAGAGGGACCAGGTGGGAGATAATTGAAACTTGGGGGTGGTTTCCCTCATACTGTTCTCCTGATAGTGAAAAAGTCTCATGAGATCTGATGGTTTTATAAGGGGAAACCCCGTTTGTTTGGCTGTCTGATTCTGTCTTGCCACAGCCATGTAAGAAGTGCCTTTCTCCTTCCACCATGACTGTGAGACGTCCCCAGCCACATGGAACTGTGAATCCGTTAAAACTCTTTTACTTTATAAATTACCCAGTCTCTGGTATGTCTTTACCAGCAGCGTGAAAACAGACTAATATACCCTCTCTCTTTTCCATTTTCTTTTCCATTCACCTTGTCGGTGGCTGTCATGAAGAAAGACATTCAGTTGGACTCACCCACGCATTTCAGCCTGCTCAGAAAGTCACAAATAAGACCCAGGGTGAGGCAGCAAACACTAAAAGGAAAACATTCCTTTCCTCCTCAGAGCAGGCTTTGTGGGACAAAAATACACACCTCCCCCCAGAGACTGCAAGTAAACTAAATGTGCTAAGAAACTTAAACCCACAGTTTTTGATGGTTGAATTATTTTGGACCGGATTACACCCATCGTGGCATTGGGGTCACCACAGCATCCCTCCTAAAAGTTTAGAGAAAGATGTGTTTAGAATCTCCTTAAAGATGCTGATGGCATTAAGGGTCTAAAGACATTTCAGAACAACTTCATAAATTAAAACACACACACACACACACACACACACACAAAACAAAAAACATCTAGGAACAGAAGCAACAGACAGGAATTGGAATCTTACCAAAAGATTGTCTGTGGTAGAGACACCATCTAGAAGGTGAATCCCAGACACGTTTTTAAGAACAAGATCAGTATTAACTGCATGGAAACTTCAAAAGAAAATTCAGCCTGGGGGACAGGAGCATATCAAAGTTTAAATCCAGTAAAGACTTGTGTAATCATAAGCTACAGGCAGTTGTGGGATAAAGAGAGACCCACTATCTCATTGTTAAAATATTGTGGAATTTATTGCAACATGCCCTGCTGCTACTAAAAACTAGAAGAATGAAGAGAAAAGCTGGAAGGTTTTATATAGCGGTCTTAAAAATCCATCTTAAAAAAATGAAAATTTTAGCCTAACATCCAGATGGTTGCTCCCAATTTACCATTCCAGTGCGAGAATATTTACAAATGCCCAGATGTTCGACCGTTGAAACACTGCCAGCTCTGGTTTCCTCCGCCTTCTGCGGATTACTCATCTCATACTCTACCCAAGTCCTTAGAGTGGTAGCAATTAATCTCTTTGTGTAAGATCTCGTGAGCTCAGTCATCCGTTTTTTTTTTCCCCTTAACCCTCATTTTTCAGGGAACAAGATAGCAATCACTGTAAACTTAAGATAAAATTTGAGTTTCTAAGAAAGTATAAAAGGCAACTTTTAGGAAAATAAAAGTGAGGTTATAGCTTTGGAGAAAGGGTAAAGTTGTTGGAGTGAAATAATATATGTCTTTAGAAAATGCAAATAGAGGATTATAATTTTAAAAGATGGCTGGCTTATCATCCACAAGGGTGAATTCATCATATTTTAGAGTACCATTCCCCCTTTTCGTTCTCTCTTTCTCTTTTCTTCTCTCTCCCATAGACCAAACACTGCAAAGCAGAGAAAGGGAGGGGTAGAAACTTTCCCTGTAATGTTTCTTTTTAACTTGCCCAACACATTTTGAGCTTATTTAGTGTAAAACTTGTAAAACATACCAAAAACCCATCATTTGGCAGATGTATCATTTTCTATGAGGTGAGTGAGTGAGAGTGTGTTTAACATAGTTGCTGAGCTAGTACTGCAAAGAAGATTGAGGTCTACAGAAATCATTTGAAGTGGAGAGGTAAAAGGATCCCCTTATTAGAAATTAGAGGCCATGTAGAGAGAAGAAAATATTAAAGAAGAGATGAAGACCTAGGGATATAATCAAAATATATTACGATGTAGAAATCACTTTAAAAACAAAATAGCTTAAAAGAGTAGAAAATGCTTATCTCTGAGTAGAGAAATGTGAGTGATGGTTGCTTTTATGTGTCAACCTGGTTGGGCCATGAGATGCCCAGATAGCAGGTTGGTATGGTTTGGATCTGTGTCTCCACCCAAATCTCACGTTGAATTACTATTCCCAATGTGGGAGGCAGGACCTGATGGGAGGTGATTGGCTCATGAGGGTGGAGTTTTCATGAATGGTTTAACACCATCCCCCATTGGTACTGTCTAGTGAGTGACTTCTCACCAGATTTGGTTGTTTCAAAGTGTGTGGCACCTCCCCCATCTCGCTCTTCCTCCCACTCTGGTCATGCAAGATGTCCCTGCTTCCCCTTCGCCTTCACCATGATTGGAAGTTTCCTGAGGCCTCCCCAGACGCCGCCATGCTTCCTGTACAACCTGTGGAACTGTGAGCCAATTAAACCATTTTTCTTTATAAATAACCCAGTCTCAGGTATTTCTTTACAGCAGTGTGAGAATGGACTAATGCATTGGTTAAGCATTATGCTTCGTGTGTTGGTAAGGGTGTTTCTAGAAGAAACTAGAATGTGAATCTGTGAACTAAGTAAAGCAGACATCCTCCTCATGGTAGGTGGACACGGTCCAATACACAGAGGGCCTACATTGGAAAAAAGGCAGAGGAAAATTGAATTAACTTCACCTGATGCTTAAGGTGGGGCATTAATCTTCTGCCCTCTATGCTCGTGGTTCCCAGACCTCCAGACTCAGACTTCAATCTACACAATCGGCTTCAGGCTCTCAGGGATTCAAACTGTACCCCCAGCTTTCTTGGGTCTCCAGCTTGCAGAGGGCAGATTGTATACACACACACACACACACACCCTATTGGTTCTGCTTCTCTAGAGAACCATGACAAATACCATGGGAAATTGTTAGGGAATTGTTTATCTAACAAGCCGTATTGGGTTATTTGAATCTGTACATTTGTAATTGCCCATCTTTGATGTTTTTAAAGCAATTATCCTTGCCATGTTTTTCCTTTTCAGGTTTTCTTTTTAAAAATTTATATTTTCATATTAAAATGGTGAGAGTGACTCATGACATGTTAAAACATTTGATATTCCTTTCAAGTGGTCTGACTTATAGTTCAAATAATCTGTTATCCATGAGTTTACTACCTATTCTATAAGTTTACAGCAATATAAATCAAGGTCCATGTTCTCAAGTAACTCATAGATTTGCTGGAGACAGAAATCAGGTAAACATAAAAATCAAAGTAACAACATATTTCAGTCATTCTAAAATTCATGTTTTGTCACACCTTAAGATCACAGAAATTGCAAACCATCTTATGTTTGAATGGCATCTGAATGAGAATTGACAGTATTCATTCTTTGTAGTCCATAAAACTAATATTGTAATTTATAGTTGGCATTTCAGGCTCAATGAAGTATACTAAATATTAAAATTCAATTGTTAATTTTAATAAATAAAATATTTCACACTCAAAATGCAGGAAACAGGAGGAAGATGGGAACCCCCTGGAAATCTTAATGGAGAAGGGGATTCTTAAGGTTGAATGCAGGATGATGTTTATTCCTAACTCTTTCTTGAATGTGTGCTGGAGTGAACATTCTCTCTACTGCAGGACACCACCTAACTTAGTTTGGATCATTCCTTTTTTTTCTTTTTCTTTCTTTTTTTTTTTTTTTCGAGAAGGAGTTTCATTCTTTCACCCAGGCTAGAGTGCAATAGTGTGATCTCAGCTCACTGCAACCTCCATCCCCTGGGTTCAAGCGTTTCTCCTGCCTCAGCCTCGGGAGCCTCAGCTGGGATTACAGGATCCCACCACCACACCCAGCTAATTTTTGTATTTTTAGTAGAGGCAGGGTTTCCCCATGTTGGCCAGGCTGGTCTCAAACTCCTGACCTCAGGTGAACTGCCCACCTCTGCCTCCCATAGTGCTGGAATTACAGGCGTGAGCCACCGCACTCGGTCTGGATCATTCTTACCTAGATTATCTGTCATGAAGCTCTGCCCCTTCTCGGCCATCCAGCCAAATTTTCTTGGAACAGGTAAATTGTGATCTACCATTTGTATAAATCACACAAATTGTGTTTTCTTGGTGAAACACAATTTATCTGTGAAAGAAAGAAATGAATTTCTTTCCTTTGTGATCTACATCTAGCCCCCTTAGCTTCTGCCACCAGCAAAATAGTTGGTGTCTTTTTTACCCAGGCATGCTGTCCTCTTGGGCAGGACTTCATTCTAAGCATCCCCAGGCAGGTATTTTTACATCTATAATGGGGTCTACAGTGGGTTCCAAGGGTCACACAACTTTAGCCCACGACAGAGGGACACATTCTCTCCCCTGTTCCCCCTGGTGCAGCCCTCTGTTCAGCCATCCCTAGCTTTTTCTCGCCTTCTCAATGTGAGTCGGGCACCTGTCCTCTGTGCCTGCCTCACTGCGTGGGACACGTGGCCAGGCCTGCAAGTGCTGGTGGAGCTGTTCCCACTGGCCTGGGCTTAGGGGCTGGCTCCCTGTGCTTCCTGCTGGAGGTGAGGTGAAACCGGAAGCCCAGCTCTGTCCAAAGAAACCCTCCTTTCCAGTCCTCCATTGCCCTACCCTGACTTATCTTCAACAAGGCTGAGTCACCTCACTGGTCATTGTTGGTTTTGAAATGTCCATGTGGCCTGTCTCACAGCTCAGGGGTGAGGAATCTGTTTCCTATTACTTCTTGGTACCATAGGTTTAGCTCCCAGTGTACCATTTCTTTGCCAATAACTAACAGAAAGTTGCTGTTTACGTCTGCCTCTTGCAGCAGACTGGAAATCTTTGAAGTTTGAGATAATATTATGTTCATGGCTCTGTCATTAGATCCCAACAAAGGGAAAATTGCAAGGCAGGTTCTCAGTAGACACTTCTGTATTTGATGCATGAGGGCTTTCTAAGTGAGGAAATAACAAAAGCATAATGAGAAAAGGCCGGAAATGGAAATGCTGTGAAGGTCACCAGATATAGTTGCATAGGTTGTGCACTACTCAAATAAGGAGGCACCATTCACATACATGATCATATAAAAGATGCTTCTGAAGCAGCCTCATTGTCTGGAGTAAATCCCCAAGGTTTTCCATCTCATGCCAAGGAAATCGAGGACGTGGACACATGAGAAGTGAGTTTAAGAACAGAGGTTTAATAGGCGAGAGAAAACAGAAAAAAAAGCTCTTTCTCCTGCAAAGAAAGAAGTGCTCCCCACTGGATCTTCTGGTTCCACAATGAAATGCATGGGGTTTTATAGATGAGCTTGAGGAGGTGGTGTGTGATTAATACAGAGCACTAGAGATTGGTCAGACCAGGTGTGCCGTTTGCATAGCTTGCAAAGAAGCTGGCCAACCCACCCTACTCCTTTATTATGCAGATGGATTCTCTACCTGGCCAGTGCCATGTTGCCTGCTTTTTACTGCACACTTGGTGACAAAGAAAAGGAAAGAGGGACCCTCCACATTGAATATACCTGGCTTCCAGGTATCCCTTTTCTATTGGCACAACTGCCGGCATTTACCTATGCAAGCTTCCAGTTTGCTTATTTATGTCTGCAGCTCAGTTGTACAGGCTGTTCTTTGTGAGAAAAGAAATGATTTAGGGTGTGCTTTTTGTTAAAAGAGAAGCCTTACCAAGGACTCTCTTCTGCTCGCTAACTGCCTAAATAATTTCTTTTTAGCTCCTGTATCACTTGTTAGTGTTGGTCAGGGTACAACGTGAACAAGCCTCTGTAGCAGCCCTTTGTGGGTCTTGCCACTTCAGAGTAAAGTAATTATCACCCTATTCTGTTTCCTTGCTCAGATAGAATGTTCACAGATTTAGGTCCAGATTTATCAGAACACAGTTGACTCAAAGGGGAAGAAGTGAAATCAGAAAATCGCTGCACACAGCAATCTGGTGCAATCCCATTACCTAACTTTACTTGACAATTTCAATTTCAAATAAACTTCCAAATGACTTCAAGCAATACAATATAAATGTTTAATATCAATAAAACAAATTAACAATGCAAAACTAAAATATCAGTGCTAAAACTCAAAAATATCTTAGAGTTGAGACATTAAAAATCATTCATAGTGGAAATTGCTTTTGATAAAACAGTCTAGTCCATACAACCCTTTAAAATAGCTTATTTCTAGGCATTATGAAAAGTAAAAGTAGTCAAAGCAGGTAGCATCATTTCCTGCCTCACTGCAAGACAGCTGTAGGCAAGCAATGAAAAAGAATATCTATGCAAAGGGTTTGTTTTGATGTTTTCCACACTGTATTTAAAGTCATAAATTGCTGCAATTGCTGCAAAGGAAGTGTCTAGTCGGAAGCCTTTATGAACCTGTGTGAAAGCTCCAGTTCCTTGCAGGTGTGGCCTCAGACCTTTCTGGCAGATGGGAACCCTGGGCAGACCTCCAAGCTTTGCTCGGCTGGGGATAATTAAGAAGCACAAAGGAACTGGAGACAGAGGAAAAGAAATGAAAAGCTGCCTCAGAAAATTGGAGACCCACATGTTGACTAAAAGTGTCTGTGTGTTTATGTGTGTGTGGCAGGCAGCCCTGAATAAACCCCTCCTCCAGCAGGTATTCAGTGCACCCTAGCACAGGTAAGACAATCAAGAAGTTATAATCAGAAATTACAGGAATAATACAATATAACAAAGCAAAATTCAGCTAGTTAAAGAATAGAAATACAAAATCAAACGTCCAAACTACAGATGGGAAGAGCGGAAAAACAAAAGAATAAACGTTAATCAGCCCTAAACCAGGCAGCAAAGGAGAGAGAGAATAAAAAAGCAAAGAAAAGCATGGTAACCAAGTATTATCGACTTAAGAGGTAGCAGCAGAAGTATTCCAAGGAAGGAAACTCTTTGCTTCAGAAGGTGCCTAGATAAGCATTTGGACTGAATGTCTTGCCAGTATGAGTATAAGCAGAAGAGCAAATGAGCAAACAGGCAAAACAAAAAGCATTGCTTGGCTGCTCTTCCTAAGAAAATGAGGAAATTGGCACTACTTCTAAGATTTAAAGGAAGAATAGAGCATGCAATGGGCAGAGAAGGGCTAGCTTGCATGGACTTTTTAAATAATTAATTAATTTTTTTTGGTACATGAGTAAGCCCTTCAGTGGTGATTTCTGAGATTTTGGTGCACCCATCACCCGAGTAGTGTACACTGTACCCAATGCGTAGTCTTTTATCTCTCACCCCCCTCCCACCCTTTCCCCCAAGTTTGGAAAGTCCATTATATCATTCTTATGCTTTTGCATCCTCATAGCTTAGCTCCAACTTATGAGAATATATGATGTTTGTCTTTCCATTCCTGAGTACTTTGCTTAGAATAATGGTCTCCCATTTCATCTAGGTTGCTGCAAATGTCATTATTTCGTTCCTTTTTATGGCTGAGTAGTATTCCATGGTGTGCGTGTGTGTTTGTGTGTGTGTGTGTGTGTGTATCACATTTTCTTTTTCCACTCGCTGATTGATGGACATTTGGGCTGGTTCCAAATTTTTGGAATTGAGAATTGTACTGGTATAAACATGCATGTGCAAGTGTCTTTTTTATATAATGACTTCCTCTGGGAAGATACCCAGTAGTGGGATTGCTGGATCATATGGTAGATGTACTTTTAGTTCTTTAAGGAATGTCCGCACTGTTTTCCATAGTGATTGTACTAGTTTACATTCCCACCAGAAGTGTAAAATTGTCCCTTTTCACTACATCCAAGCCAACATCAATTTTTTAAAATTTTTTGATCATGGCCATTCTTGCAGGAGTAAGGTGGTATCACATTGTGGTTTTGATTTGCATTTCCCTGGTATTAGTGGTGGTGAGCATTTTTTCATACGTTTGTTGGCCATTTGTGTATCTTCTTTTGAGAATTGCCTCTTCATGTCCTTAGCCCAATTTTTAATGGGCTTTTTTTTCTTGCTAATTTGTTTGAGCTCCTTGTAGATTCTGGATGTTAGTCCTCTGTCAGAAGCATAGACTGTGAAGATTTTCTCCCACTCTGTGGGTTGTCTATTTGCTCTGCTGATTATTTCTTTTGCTGTGTAGAAGCTTTTTAGTTTAATTAAGTTCCATCTATTTATCTTTGTTTTTGCTGCATTTGCTTTTGGGTTCTTGGTCATGAAATCTTTGCATAAGCTAATGTTTAGAAGGGTTTTTCCAATGCTATCTTCTAGAATTTTTATAGTTTCAGGTCTTAGGTTTAAATCTTTTATCCATCTTGAGTTGACTTTGTATAAGGTGAAAGATGAGGATTCAGTTTCATTCTTCTACATGTGGCTTGCCAATTATCCCAGCACATTTGTTGAATAGGGTGTCCTTTCCCCACTGTATGTTTTTGTTTGCTTTGTTGAAGATCAGTTGGCTGCAAGTATGTGGCTTTATTTCTGGGTTCTGTATTCTGTCCATTGGTTTATATGCCTATTTTTATACGAGTACCATGCTGTTTTGGTGACTATGGCCTTACAGTATAGTTTGAAGTCGGGTGATGTGATGCTTCCAGATTTGTCTGTTGTTGTTGTTGTTTTGCTTCATCTTGCTTTGGCTATGTGGGCTCTTTTATGGTTCCATATGAATTTTAGGATTGTTTTTTCTAGTTCTGCAACGAATGATGGTGATATTTTGATGAGAATTCATTGCATTTGTAGATTGCTTTCGGCAGTATGGTCATTTTCACAATATTGATTCTACACATCCATGAGCATGGGATGTGTTTTCATTTATTTGTATTGTCTATGGTTTCTTTCAGCAGTGTTTTATAGTTTTCGTTGTAGAGGTCTTTCACCTTCTTGATTAGGTATGTTCCTAAGTTTTTGGTTTTGTTTTGTTTTGTTTTGTTTGTTTTGCTATTGTAAAAGGGGTTGGATTCTTGATTTGATTCTCAGCTTGGTCACTGTTGGTATATAGAAGAGCTACTGATTTTTGTACGTTAATTTTGTATCCTGAAACTTTGCTGAATTCACGTACCAGTTCTAGGAGCTTTTTTGGATGAGTATTTAGGGTTTTCTAGGTGTACAATCATGTCATCAGCAAACAGTGACGGTTTGACTTCCTCTTTACCAATTTGGATGCCCTTTATTTCTTTCTCTTGTCTGATTGCTCTGGCTAGGACTTCCAGTATTATGTTGAATAAAAGTGGCAAGAGTGGGCATCCCTGTCTTGTTCCAATTCTCAAGGGGAATGTTTCAGTTTTTTCCCATTCCTTATAATGTTGGTTGTGGGTTTGTCATAGATGGCTTTTATTACCTTAAGGTATGTCCCTTCTATGCCAATTTTGCTGAGGGTTTTAATCATATAGAGATGCTGTATTTTGTCAGATGCTTTTTCTGTATCTATTGAGATAATCATGTGATTTTTGTTTTTAATTCTGTTTATGTGGTGTATCACATTTATTGACTTGCGTATGTTAAACCATCTCTGCATCCCTGGTATGAAACCCATTTGATCAAGGCGGATTATCTTTTTGTTATGCTATTGGGTTTGGTTAGCTAGTATTTTGTTGAGGATTTTTTGGATCTATGTTCATTAGGGATATTGGCTTGTAGTTTTCTTTTTTTTTGTCATGTTCTTTCCTGGTTTTGGTATTATGGTAACACTGGTTTCATAGAATGATTTAGGGAGGATTCTCCCTTTCACTATCTTTTGGAATAGTGTCAATAGGGTTGGTACAAATTCTTCTTTGAATGTCTGATATAATTCATGTCTGGTCCTGGACTTTTTTTTGTTGGTAACTTATTAATTATCATTTCAATCTCGCTGCTTGCTATTGGTTGTTCAGAGTTTCTATTTCTTCCTGGTTTAATTTAGGAGAGTTGTATATTTCCAGGAATTTATCCATCTCCTCTAGGTTTTCTAGTTTATTGCATGGCACTTTTTGTGCCTTAGAAAAAGCATATCTTACTACAGGCTGAGGCAATCCAGACCAGGACATTAGGAAGCAGAGCATGATACAAAGTTCAGCCCCTACTAGGCCTCTCTGCCAAACCCCCTTTTGCCATGCACATTCTGGCTTAGTGGCCATACCAAAAACAAGAGTCTCATAGAGAGTGGGAGGCAAGGTGGTCTGAGAACATTTCCCTAAGGCCAAGGGACTAAAGGATGTTTTAAATGCAAATTGATTAACAGGGATGCCTCATGCTCACTTTTCAACTATCAGCATTTCCGTAATGTTCGCCCTTTGTCTTCTTCATTCCCCATCCAACTTCGGCAGAGTCTGCTGTAACTTGCAGAATCTTTGTGTAAGTAAAGCTTTATGTGAAATTGAAGGAAGGGGCTGAGTTTAAAACCTGGGTTGTACCCACACCAAAAGAGAGAGTAAGCTTAGAAATAGGAGCCAAAACAGTAATATGATCATAAACCTAAAGGATTCTCAGAATACCGGGGAAAGACTTCTACAGAGTAAGATGGTTTCAAGCCAGCATAAGCCTCAAGGATTCTCAGAATAATGGGGAAAGACTTCTACAGAGAAAGATGGTTTCAAACCAGCCACTTAATACAACAAAACACCAGGAGATCCCATGTGAAATCCTGGTGACACTCACAGAAATTAGGGAACAAAAATGCCAGAAACAACCGGGTCAACTAAGTTAATCTTATGTGTCAAAACTAAGCACAGGGCATGTCATATGTAATATGTTTACCCTGCTTTGTGAATGTATAACTAGGAGAATATTTACAATGCTATAAATATTGGATCACCTTAAATTATATGCTTATTGAATGCATTTACTGAACAAAATAAAATTCCCTAAAATGAAAGCCGTTCTAAAAATTTAGAATAGAGACCATATAAGGATCACTTGCAGGGAGTTCATGTTTATTATTTCTCTGTTTGTCATTTATTTGGTTGCCATATACTGTAACTTGCATGATGTGAATTGATGTGAGTGGTAACACTAACCTCTAAAATATAAGAAGGGCCCTTGGTCTTCCAATGAGGGCTACAGGTGACTGATAAACTGTGGTTGGTTTGGGGAGGTTTAAAATGATCAGCTCTAGGACTTAACAGCCATTAATGAAAAATTATATTCTGAAAAGTGCATTTATTTCAATAATCGGAGCATGAGTCTTAGAACAGATGATCCTTGAGAACTAAATCTGTACATTCAATAGAAAGCCATTACCAGGCAGGACAGCTGGATCACAGGGGTTTATGCCCTTGTTAAGACCAGAGATTTCAATCAGAAGGTGGGTTTCAGAAGTGGAAGTGATATCAATCTAGACGTCAAAGTCACACACACATCACACAAGCACATGCACAAGTTTGCATGCATACACACACACTTTCACCTGCACATACACGCACCTGGGCACAGACACAGAATGAATACATGTTTCCTAGGCAACAACTGCAAGTAAATTTCAGTGCCCAGTGTCAGGGAAACCTGTGCCCCTTATCACCCCTATATTCTCTATTCAATAGAAAATTGCACTTCCACCTCTCAGTCTGAAATCCCAGCCTTATTCAGTATCGCTGTAGCCTACATTTTCTGTGTCATCTCTCAGTTCTCCCCTGTTCCTCATCGAAACTAGACTCATCAACATTCAGTAAACAAGTTGTGTCATTTCTTCACTCTAGGGTTTTTCAAACACTCCTGCCTATGCCTGGAGCACTCTTTGCTTCCATTTCCATCAGCTGGAATCTAGTCAACCTCAGAGATGCATTCAAAGCCCCCTCCTATATTTGGACTTTCCAAGAGACAGCTAAGGGAGCCTCATTTCTATTCTAACCTAGGAAATGCCTTGATAACCCACATTAGCTAGGAGGGGAGAGGTTGGCTGCTCAACTCCATGCCTCCCACAAAATCACTGGCAAAGGCTACCTCCAACACTGAATGTGATTGCAATTATTGTAATTAATAAGAACTCTTTTTGAGTACTAAGCCTATATTGGGTTTTATGTCTTATTCTAAAGAAAGAAATTTCACTGATCTATTCCATAAAGTTAAGACCCCATATCATTTATCGTGATCTCCCTGGTTCTTAGATCAGTATCCAACACATAGTAAGCAAAAAGGAAATGCTTGAAGAAATAAAAGAACAAGTGAAAGAAAGTCAAACTTAGGTTTTAGCTGAATGACAACTTGAGAAAGAAGGAGGGTATAAGTACACTGACAATTTGACAATATTCATTAAAAATCTTGTTCTAACCCAAATAATGCTACTCATGGAATAAAACACATTTTCTAGAAGCATCATTTGTCTGTTCCACAGTTGTTCACCAAACAAACAAGCACCTGCAAAAGTCTAACTATTATGAAGAAAAGTAATTTTAGTTGGAGTGCAAATTATATGGTACATGGACTTTCATAAAACAGTTTGTTCCAAGAAAATACTTGCAGGAAAATATTTTCTAAAATAACTAACAATGAATTAAATATAATGCTTCAAGAGAACCTTGGAATCCTCAGGTGAGATCCAGGTTGAAAAATATGATGACCTCACACAGATGACCCACTCAGAACACACTGACCCCGTAATGGTTTTTTTCCTTCTGACCATAGAGGGAAAGACAGAATTAAGCAGTCTGCATCTGCATTGAGACAAGACTTCTTTTAGGATAAATCTGAAATATTTAGATATTCCTTCTTTTTGAAACAACTAATATTCAGGAATACAGATAGGGAAAAATAGGTGAACAAAGGTCATGGTTTTCAAATTTGAGAAATATGTGGACCACTTTTAAAGGTTAAACAATTTTGAAACCCTAAGACTATTTCTTCTGATTGTCAGTGTGGAAGACACTCAACTAATAGTTGAAGGCTCTTTTCAACGTAGCTGACTTAGCAGGAGGGTGCATCCTTCTTCCTTTCAGCTGCCAAGAATATGAATATGACTCTACAAGGAGCTCTGGCCTCGTGAGTGGGCATTCAGAGGACCTGAAGACAAGATCCTTCCCTAGGAGGGCAGAGAAGTGTAGTCAGGGTGATGAACACAGGCTGCTCTAACAAATATGCCCTTCTTAGTGTCTTAACCATCTAAAGGAGGTCAGGCAGCTCTTTTTTTTTTTTTTTTTTTAAGATGGAGTTTCGCTGTTGTCACCCAGGCTGGAGTGCAATGGCACAGTCTCAACTCATTGCAACTTCTGCCTCCCATGTTCAAGCAATTCTCCTGCCTCAGCCTCCCAAGTAGCTGCGATTACAGGCCCCTACCACCATCCCGAGCTAATTTTTGTATTTTTGGTAGAGATGGGGCTTCACCATGTTGGCCAGGCTGGTCTCCACCTCCTGACCTCAGGTGATCTACCCACCTCGGCCTCCCAAAGTGCTGGGATTACAGGCATGAGACACTGTGCTCTTTTTGACAGCTCTCCTCCCAAGGGTGATTCAGGTCTCAGAGGTTTCTGTGAAGCTGCCAGATACAATACATGTCCTCCAAAGTCTCTTTAAAAGAAGAGGGGAAAAAAATGAGCCAATGACTATGACCTCACAGGCATGTTAGGGCCAGGCCTAGAAGTAACATAAACTATTTCTACTCATATTTAATTGTACAGAACCAGTCACAAGGCACTAACTCATGAGCGAGGCTGGGAAATGCAGATTATTCTATGTTTCCAGGAAGACGAAAGGAGATTGATGAGCACCAAACTAGTCTCTGTTACCATCAAAAGATAGAGGAGGTCCTGGACTGCCAGCCTGTAGAATTTTCTGTGGGAGAGAACAACACTTCCACCTTGGGAGACATCTCTGTTAGTCAGAAGTCTAATATGCACAGTTAAGCTGTTAAGTGGTGTGGATATGAAAAAGAAGGCTGCTACTTCAGAACTGTCCCCAGCAGCAGGCAGTACATTGATGTTGGCTCCTTCCCACTGGGAGGGCACCAACTTCCTGCTGCATGGCCTGCTGGGAAACAAGATGGTGCTCCATGGCCTGCTGGGAAACAACATGCCCTGGGGCATCATGGGGATTTGAACACTTGAATGATGACTGCCTGAGTCAGGTCGGGAGTCTACAACAAATTACATTACCAAAGACTGGGTGGCTTAAACAACAACCATTTATTTCTCACAGTTCTGACTCCACCCCAAAAAATAGAATATACATTCTTCTCATCTGCACATGGCACATGCTCTACAGCTGACCATACGCTCAGCCCTAAAGCAATTCTTGACAGATTCAAAAGAACTGAAATCATACCAACCGCACTCTCAGACCACAGTGCAATGAAAATAGAAATCAGTACCAAGAAGATCATTCAAAACTATACAATTAAATGAAAATTAAACAATCTGCTCCAAAATGACTTTTGGGTAAAAAATTAAATTAAGCCAGAAATCAAGAAATTCTGAGATTAGGATGCCAACATGGCTGCATTCTGGTGAGAACCCCCTACCAGGTTGTGGACTTCTTTCTTTTTGTTGTATCCTCACATGGTGGAAAGACAGCGAGCCAACCCTCTGGCTTCTGCTTAAAAGGCCACTGGTCCCATTCATGAGGGCTCCACCCTCACGACCTAATCTCTTCTCCAAAATTCCATTTACTAATACCATCTCCATGCGGTTCCAAGATGTGAATTTTGGAGGGACATAAACATTTAGTTAGACTATTGCAGTGACAGAGCACAGTGCTATGGTGCATGGGTCATCATGGATTGAACTATTTCATGGTAACTCTGAGCAGTCACTATGATCAGGAATTAGGAGAGAAAAGGGGATTTATCGATGTTTTCTCCAAAACATTCATACAAGTCCAGGCTTTTCCCAGCTACCTTATTGTAGTGACTATATAACTTGGAGCAACTATAAGGAGGAAATAAAATATTATAATCTAATCTATTCCAATGGTTTTCAATCTTACAGTTTGCCTTTTCTAATTACAAAGTCTAATCAACAGAAAAAACTTAGAAAACAAAACAAAATTACAAAGAAAACAAAATCCCCTATAATCTCACCATTAAGAGACCATGTCTGTGAAAATGTTGACACGGGTTCACCAGAGTATGGGAGTATTGGTACACATGCTTATAGGAAGACAAACTGACTAAACAAATTAACTTGTAGCTTTCTCACAATATTTCACAGAATTATTTACATCTCCATCAAATTGTTCCCCAAAAAGTGTACTTTGAATAATGCTTAACCGTGTTAATTTTGTATATGAACCATATCTTAATTTTTAAATGTCCTAATTTAATGCCTATAAAATAGGCTTTTTTACTTTTAATCATTTCTGTTTTTAATTTTTGTTGTTGTTCCTTTTATCTTTCAATGAAGAAAATTATGACTCTCCTGCTTATCTTGTTGAGGTTATGAACAATTTTGGGAGGAGGAGTGAAATTGTTTATAAATACTTAAAACATCAATGATGAGGTAATGATGAGTATGTTACCACATCATTTGATGTTTTAAGTATTTATAAAGTAAAATTTAAGTTTATAAAATTAATTCTTTCAGCTGAAAGTTAATTCTAGAGTTATTAGAAATAATAATTCTGGAATTATTATTAGAAAGAAATTAAGACATAAATGATTTATTTCTAATAATTGGAGTTATTAAAATTATTCTGCAATTATTAAAAATAAGGGGTCTGATGTTAATATTCTAGGTAAAGAGATAATGCCTATGAAAATGTTTCAAAATCTTGGGAAGGTAAAAGCCAGTATAAGTGATTGTGATCTAATTATTACCTCTCTTTGATCAAGTTTAGTAGCCTCAATAGCCTCAGTGAATTCTTTATAATTTACAAACTCCTATTTAGTTATAAAGTCTCTTCCAAGAATGAAAGGTTTGTGTGAAATCACATCATCAGGAAAACAGTTATTTTCCACATTCACAGAAGTGCAGTACGAGAGCGTATGTCTGCTGGTGGTTGTTATTTCTGTGTATTTTGCCCAATTGCTTTCCTCTGGTGCTGGGCCAAATCCCTTGTAAAGAGGAGAGTGAGGCATATGTGCATTAGTGAGACCTTTATTACCTTGTGTCTCAAATGGTAAAGCCCTTTCAATAGCATGATGTTGCCAAAGAATATATTTAAGGGAATTTAACAATTATAAAGCCACTCCTCAAGTATCCAAGAGGTAGTTTTAAAAACTGATGTGCACTGGAAATGACTAAGAATAAATACTCAATGCTGAGGCTTACCAGCCCTATGAAGAATGAGGATTCATGTAATTATGTAAAGATGCACCCACACCACCAAACACGGTCACTTGGGGTGGACACTTGCTTGGTTCTTAGAGTTCAGGAATCCACTGACACCCATCCCCATGAATGACCATGGATCAAACATATGTGAGGCATCATCAGTCATCACACAAAAAGAGTGAAGTGAGAGCTTCCATGTGCACCAAGAGGAAAAATCCAACCAGGAGAAATAAGTCCTCTTTGGGGATGGATTCCTCATTCACTTGCTCTCTGACGAGGTCGAGTTCATATCGGATTTCAGAGACACACAGAACACAGAAGCACTGCACAAAATGAGATTTCTCAACAGAAGAAATCAAGATGAACCTTCCAAGGCTCATAGTCTGCCCCAGTGATCTCTCCTTGTTCTGTGGGGAGGGACCATTCAGAAAAGCAGTGCCTGGGCAGGTGTGCTCGGCGCTCTCTTTGTGGTTAATAAGGGAGCGGAAGGTCATGGAATGGAGATGTGTTCGTTGCATCATGACTCCAGCTGTACCCTTGGCCTGCGGGATTAGGACTCAGGAGCTACGATTCCACAACCCTTACTGTTCTTCGTGTTGTTTGATTTTTCAAGGAAAGTAAAATACCAAAATATTGGATGAAATCCCACAATGTTTTAATATTAGGAGATAAATTAATAAAAATGTTCTAGAGAAATCCCTTTGCTGTCCAAAGTCTGATAGGGTTGGATTTATACACTGAAGTGCATGTGTCTTTTTGCTTTTTTTCCCTCATAAGTGAGATGAATTAAATAAAAACAACATTCTTAGATGCAGAAAACAAGATTCACTTTTGTTGAAGCAGCAAGAATGTATTGTGAGAGGAAAATATCTTGGACCCCATCAAGTTGGGAACTGCTCAGGGCAAATATGCCTCCTATTCAAAGTCACCCCTCTGCTCACTGAGATAGATGCATGTCTGATTGCCTCCTTGGAAAGGCTGATCAGAAGCTCAAAAGAATGCAAAGGTTCATTTCTCTCTCACCTATCTGTGACCTGGAAGCCCCCTTCTGGCTTCCTGGCTTCCTGCCTTTGCTTTGAGTTGTCTCGCCTTTCCAGACCGAACCAATGTACTTCTTACATGTATTGATCAATGTCTCGTGTCTCCCTCAAATGTGTAAAAGTAGGCTTTGCCCTGACCACCTTGGGCACATGTCGTCAGGACTTCCTGAGGCTGTGTCATGGGCTCGCATCCTCAAACTTGGCAAAATAAACTTCCTAAATTAACTGAGACCTGTCTTAAATTTTTGTGGTTCAGAGTATTAAGGGATATGAAGAGGCTCACAGCATTGTTGGAGTCAATGGAGAGATAGATTTTAGTCTGAGCTTCTGGGAACACCCCCAACACCAGAACCCCTTCCTAAGACCTGCTTGCTAACAGACTCTCAATGTCTCTGACATAAGGGGGAAGCACCCAGCACTACCCATGACTCCAGAAATATGTTACTTCAGACATCTATAACTGCAGAACAGATGCTCTGTGCTTTTTCTCTCTGCTGCTCAGTCATGCCTCATGCTGAGGTGTCTGAATGGTAGAAGCAAGTTCATGTGTTCATACCCTTGTGTCAGAGAAACTGGGAACATCTTTTTTCTGCATGTTGTGTTAGGAATGTCAATTCACAGCAGCGGATACTACCAAAATATACAGCTGGAAACTGTGGAATATACTGATACCTGGCTGCCAAAACCCAGTGCCACTTTCTTCTGGGCACACAGCTCTACTGCATGTTCCAATCTCCTTTGTAGCTTGACAAATTCATGTACCTAGGTTCTGTCTAACGAATGTGGCAGAAGTCGTGTGTGTTACTTTTAGACATAGTTCATAAAATCTTCCCACATAATCCACTTCCTGGTTTGTCTCCCCACCACCTGGTGAGATATACAGAACTCAGCCGAGGACAGTTAAGACCCTGGGGGGTAGAAGGACCCTAGGGGGTAGCAGAGCCCTAAAATGAAAGGAACCTGGAACCTCAGTGGCTATGTGGAGCAGAATTCCCCTTAATCCTGCAACTAACTGGACTCTGTCTGGGTTAAGCCACAGAGGTTTAAGGGTGTATCTGTGTCTGCAGCTAGCATTAATTTAAACTAATAAATGGCAGACCCAAATAGTGATTAAATGTCCCTTAGCTAAACACTATGCCCTCAACTTCGAATTAAAGTTTTAATCATACAAATTACAGGTAGCTTTTGATATGGTTTGACTCAAATCTCATCTTGAACGGTAGTTCCCATAATCCCCATATGTCATGGGAAGGACCCAGTCAAAGATAACTGAATCATGGGGGCAGTTACCCTCATGCTGTTCTCCTGATAGTGAGTGAGTTCTCACAAGATCTGATGGTTTTATAACAGAATTTTCCACTCTTGCTTGGCACTTCTCTCTCTGGCCGCCATGGGAAGAAGGACATGTTTGCTTCCCCTTTCACCATGATTGTAAGTTTCCTGAGGCCTCCCCAGCCATATTCAACTGTCAGTCAATTAAACCTCTTTCCTTTATAAGTTACTCACTTTTGGGTATGCCTTTATTAGCAGTGTGAGAATGGACTAATACAGCTTTGGAAGAATAATCCTGATTGTCCCTCAATTACAGAAATCTATAGGTTTATAGGTTTATAACTATAGGTTTAGAAATCTATTAGTGTTCAGTCTTTACCCCAACACAGCAAATATTTATGAAGATGACAGTGCTATGAAGTATGAGTCACCCAATGAACAGGTTTCTAAATGCAATAGAATAAAATGTTGAACACCACACCAACCCAAACCCTTATAAAACCTTGTAAAATCTCTGTTAAGAAAATGCACCAAACTCACTTTATAACCTGCTCTATTAGGTTTTAAGATGTTTGCATATTTTAAAACTTTCATGGTAGAAAAAAAATCATTTCTTTTTCTTTATGGGTCATTTAGTTTTCTGCATGTGAAGTTAAAAAGAAAGAGAGAGTGAAAAACTGACATTTACTCTAATACGTTACTTGATATAAATATGTATGAATCTCAAATACATTCTTCCCATGAATACAAGAAAAGTGAACTCAGAGTGTTTCTTTCCTCCAGGCCCCAGGAAAGCTGGCTGTTATATATTCATTGTTGATCTTTCCTGTGGATGAAATTTCTACTTCAATTGTTCTCTTTGAGGCCATCCAGATACTAATTTCTAACTGCATTTTAGGAATCAAAGATACTAATCCAGATACTAATTTCTAACTGCATTTTAGGAACCAAAGGGAATATCCTCAAGAGGTTGAAAATATTTTTTTAAATGTCACGTGTAATTGTTAATGATGTTTTCAAGGCTGACCCTTCACAATCGAGAAAACAGTGGCCTCTGCTTGCCTCTAATCTTCTACTCTCTGATCTTTTGTGCTTGGGTGGATAGGGAAGTGGCAACATTTTGAACTTATCCAATGAGATCGCCAGCTTTAAGACAGCCTCATGAGTAAGATCTCTAATTCTGGATTTAGAAGGTTTGGGTATAAACCCTGACCTCACCACTAACATGCCCTGTGACCCAGGGTAACTCACTCACCTTCTCTAAACCTTAGTGTCATCATCTATAAAATGGTAAAACCAAAGACTATTGGGTTGATTCAACACATAAAATATGTAGAGCACTATCTTGGGTGCCCCTTTTTTTCTAGCTCAGACATTATTTTCTTTGAACATGAAAATATTTTAAAATATCTTTGTACATTTAAATCCCAGAGTAGCATTGGCACAGGCAGCTCCGTTTGTATGAGTCTCTAGGGAAAAGAGTCAAGAAGTATTTAAAGGAAGGTTTTCTTCATTCTTCCTTTGTTTTAAGAACCTATAACAGGCCCAGGATTAGGTACAAAGTAAAGATACCTAAAATACTTCCCTGATACCAGCAAGTACATTTTAGCGACTTGGGGATATCTTTTAGTGTCCTGTTTTCTTCTCTTGGTCTACCTTCCCTCCCAAAATTGTCCTCAAGATGCCATTATTTCAAAGAAATTTCTGTACATTCCATAGTCCATAGACCAGAGAGACAGGCATGGGGAAAAAAAAAAACAATCTATTGTTTATGAGGGAAAAAAATGGTGCAAAATTATTTACCATAATGCCTTGGAGATTTGGACACATGGATAATAAAACATTAAATAGTGAAATAGCAGCTTTCCTTAGAGTTTCTACCTCTGATCATTTAACTAAGGCCAGGGCTATGACAAATCCCTGAATCATTCCTGTGGAATTAACATAAATACATTCTCCTACTGGAGACAGTGGAGAATGCAATTCAAACGATGGATTCTTTTAAAAGTATCAGACTACTTTCCTCAGGAGAAAACGAGAATCAAGATCTTGTCCTACATAATAGTGATCACAAAGGCTCAGTGGAAAGGTGGCCGAAAAAATAAACACAACACTTCCTCTATATCACCAAATGTAAATTAAAGATGGAAGGAAAAGTCAGTAAAATGAGTTATGAGAGCTCAGAACTTTGCCTAAGGGAGGATTTTAAAAGAGTTTGAATTCATCAGCTCTTGCCTTTAAATAAGTTCTAAAGCAGTGGTTACCTCTGAGTCAGCTTCTGGAGTTTCTGGAGATAAAACAATTAAGCTTAAAGACAAAATTGAGAAATCAGGGGGACTTTAGAATTTCCAAATATATGTATATTTGGGTAATATTATATAGTTAAAACTTACACAGATTTTTAAATTTTTAAATAGCAGGGTACTTTTTTCCTAGGAACAATGGAAAGTACCTTACTTGTGCTCATGTCAAAAGAGTTAGCAACCTACATTATGTTGTAAATTCAATTAAGTAGGATTAGTTCAAAATGATGATTCATGCAGAATTCCTCATCAATCACTATAATCTGAGATCAACTATACCTTGACATGTCTAACATGAGATTTGTTTAGCCAAGAAATGAACATTTTGGATGTCTAAACTAATTTAAGTCAATAAGCCTTTGAGAAAAATTGACAGGTTGACATATAAGTAATAATAATAATAATAATAATAATAATAATAATACATTGTCTTCCCACATTGCCTGCGTGCACATCATGCCTCCACCTTCTCCCTGTGACTAATCTCAAACAGCACATTCAGCCAGTGCCTCACCTCTGCCATCTGTTAAATGGGGATGATGGTGTCAGCTGCGAGAATGAAGGGAGCTAACGCATGTGAAGTTTTTCTACCTATGCCTGGCCTGGCACATTTAAGCACCATGTAGGGGTGAACTAGTATTGATATTATTATTATTATTTTTTTTTTTTGCACAAAGGTTCTGCTGTTTAGATTTCCCTGGTCCTTCTGAAAATGAATCAAGTTAAAATTGAACTTTACCTCTACCACTTAGGCAGTTTTCATGCACTTAGTTTTCCCTTCCCCAAATTCATTTCCTCCTACAAACATTCTCCTCCCAATAAATGGCTCCATCTGCCATTCAATTGTGCAGCACAGAATCTGGGGACATGACTAGCCAGGTAGCTAACGTAAATAAGTGAAATGGGTTTCATAGATTCCTCAGGGGCATTCTTCTTTGCATAATCCTGGCAGGAATATTCCTCACCAAATATTTTTTGCTTCCCCATATTGGAAATATACCCGGAACCCAGCCACAACTCCTCACTTTCTCTAACACTGCCCTGGTGCCCTGTCCTCACCTCCATCCTGGGGACAGTACAGCCTCCTCCTGCTCCTCTTTCTCCATGCAGCTGCTTCCCAAAGTAGCCAGAGAGGCCTGGGAAGCAGGAATTGCCTCACACCTTCTCACTGCTCAGAAACCTCCCTTGCCTTTTCTCACACTCAGACCAAAATTCTAAGGAGGCGTTTAGGACTGTACTAACCTGCACCTGCCACACTTCCTGCCTCACCCCCTGCCACTCCTTTACCTGTCCACCGCCCTTCTCTCCTCTAACCTCTTTCTCTTCCTGTAATGGCCTCAAATAGTCTATTGCCAGATTTGCTTATTTTTCTCTCATTTTTTATAGATCTACCTTCCAATATCATTGACTTAAAGTCCACTCTGTGTAAGAAAACTCTTCTTATCCTCAGTTCCCTATCACACCACACTGCTTTGGTCTTCATACCACTGATCACTTCCTAAGCCTTACCAGCTGAAGGATTTTGAGTGAGTTACTAATCCCTTCTGTGACTTCCTTTTCTATCTTTAAAGGGCAGATCATATCAGTACCTATTGTAGAATTATTTTGAGGATTAAATGAGTTAACATATACGAAATACTCAGAAAATTGCTTGTCTCATAGGAGACTACATTAGAGTATTAATCATTGCATTTTCTTTGAGCCCTGATGGTCTCTGCTTCTCCATAAGGATGGGGACCTTGCTGAATTCACCACTGTGTTCTCAGCATCTAGTATCATGCTTGGCATGTAGGAGATGCTGCATATACAAATGTGGAAAGATAAAAGGAAAGAACAGGACATGATAAAGCAAATTGCAAGGTAGAAACACAAACGTGTTAATCAGGAGCTGTATGTGGAACCCTGTGGCAGATTAAATACAGCCTTTAAAACAAAGATGGCCATGGATCTTACAATTGCCCCCAAAGTCATGGCAGCCTTGTTTGATGTTTCCTCCTTTTACTTTTATCTGTATCTTTTTAAACAAATCTTGTCTATTGAGGAACAGCACATTGACAAAGAAAGGAATAAACAGAAGATTCTCATTAGCACAAGACAGGTTTAGTCTTTCTGCAACTCTTATTTCCCTATTTCATACCTATCGATATATTCTATAAAATGCAATCATCAGTCCCAAATAATACAATTCCTCATGTTCCCAGACACTGGACATTCTGCAAAGTAGAGATAGAATAAACTCCAATTTTGCCAAACCCTAGGGAAGGTAATCCACTACCATTTTTAACTTGATCTGCCAAATGAGATCCCAACAACTTACTTAAAAACATGTTATCCCCAAATAATCATTTATGTGGTTCTTGAGCCAAAAGAGATCCCAAAAACTTACTTAAAAATATGTTATCCCCAAATAAACATTTATGTGGTTCATCTAAGCTTAGACGAGCAGAAAGAATAAGAAAACCTCCAACATTGACCTCAACCTACATGTATGTCCATCCCAATGTCTGTTTCACGAACCCTGTGTTCAGGTGAAGCTGGAAAGCTCTGGAATCTGACTGGACTGGATGCTCTCTGGGGTCCCTTGGTCTCTAGACACAGAAGCTGTGGGCCAGACATCTCCAGTTCGAGTGCTTACAAGAAGCTGGCAAAGAATATAACTGAGTGGAACATTCTGGTCGTTCTAAAGAAACACTGTTATTGGCATGCAAAAGATTCAGGGATACTCTTTACTTTCACAAAGAATTATAAGTTCTACTTCTTTTCTGGAAACAATTGGCCCTCTTACTCTGGCTTTTCTTCATCTATTTTGGATAAGAGACATGGGGAAAAATCCACTTTCCTCTGAAATCTCTTTCAAGTAAAAGAAGAACCTTATATAAAAGTAGATACACAGACCAATGGAACAGAATAGACAACCCCCCAAGAAGGCCAAATACTTACAACTAACTGATCTTTGACAAGGCGTACAAAAACATAAATTGGGGAAAGGACACCCTATTCAATAAATGCTGCTGGGAGAATTGGATAGCCATATGTAGAAGAATGAAACTAGAGCCATATCTCTCGCTATATAGAAAAATCAACTCTAGATGGATTAAAGATTTAAATCTTAAGACTTGAAACCATAGAAATTCTAGAATAAAACCTAGGAAGAAACTCTTCTGGATATTGGCCTAGGCAATGAATTTGTAACTAAGACTCCAAAAGCAAATGCAACAAAATAAACAATAAATAAATGTGACCTAAACTATAAAGATTCTGCACAGCAAATAAATAATCACCAGAAAAAACAACCTATAGAATGTGAGACAATATTTGCAAATTATATATCCGACAAAGGGCTAATATCCAAAATCTACAAGGAACTCAAAAAAAAAGCAAGAAGAAAATAAACAATCCCATGAAAAAGTGGGCAAATGACATGAATAGACAATTCTCAAAAGAGGATATACAAATGGCCAACGAACATGAACATCACTAATCATCAGGGGAATGCAAATTAAAACCAAAATGAGATACTACCTTACCCCAGGCAAAATGGCCATTATTAAAAAGTCAGAAAACACTAGATATTGGAATGGATGTGAAAAATCAGAATAAAAAAGAGAAAATAGCACTTAAATAATAGATGATACAATAGTACTAGTATAGACTCATTAAGCACATACTGTGTCTCAGACCCTATTCTAAGGATTTTATTGATATATTCACAACTTGTGAAATAGGTATTGTCACATCCTATGAATGAGGAAACTGAGGCACAGTGTGGAAATGAAAAACTCAAAGGAAGAATAAGTAGCTGTATATCGTTTAGGCCAGAAGCAGAGAATGATTGATTAGCTGCTAATGATTGATCTAAGACCTCAGTGGGATCTTAGATCATGCTTGACATTAAAACAATGCTTCACTATCAGGTATGTCTGATTTTCCATGTAATTGATCACTTCACTTCCTTCACCCAACCTATGAGAAAGTTTGCTCAGGGACTCCAAGTCCTCATGAGAGGATCTATTGCTGATTATAGAGCCAAGTGAAATGAGAGCTGGGTGTTGTGTTCCACCCTTTTCACTCCTCGAGGTTCTCAAGCTC
This sequence comes from Homo sapiens, assembly GCF_000001405.40. Taxonomy (NCBI): domain Eukaryota; kingdom Metazoa; phylum Chordata; class Mammalia; order Primates; family Hominidae; genus Homo; species Homo sapiens. Next base: position 144,674 of record NW_003315940.1, on the reverse strand, counting down.
AGATTGACCTCTTCACATCCTCATCTTCAGTCTTCACCCTGACGATGCCCTTTTGACTCTCCATATGGGCAGAAGCCAAAGTTTTTATTTAACAGCCCATTCTAACGGCCCATGAATGCCAACTTTTTATATCTATGCAGTCTTCTCTTTTGCCTCCAATGCTCAGAATGTTTATTTCACGAAGGTCTTATCATTACCATCTTGCTTCCTAGAAATCAATGTAATATCATCCAAGCAAAATGTCATGAACTTGTCATTTGAATAACTGTGACTCTAGAGCTCCAAAGTTTGAGAAATCTTGCTGCTGAAGGCGTTTTCCTCTAACAGCTCCATAAAGTGGACATGAATATTAATAGTTGGTTGTAAAATGGTCAGTTTTCAGGTTGCTGGATGTGGCATCAGGTTGCCAAATGATGACTGATATGTCCAAGGTCTTTTGTTGTGAGAGAGGAAGGATGTCTTGGGAGGACCAAGTGATTCCCACAAAGCACGTCACACCAAAAACATGCCTCTTGGGCAAAGTCTGGAGAGGGGTCAGCTTCTAAGGTTGACAGCGAGCTGCAGTGATTGAGTCCCAGTGTTGTGTAAAACTCATCCACCAAATGTTTGAGTCCCTCCTCTGTGGGAGGCACTGTTCAAGACATGAGGCTATAGCTGGGAGCAAAGCAAATGAAAAACCCTGACTTCATGAAACAAATGAAAAACTCTGACTTCATGAGTGTTCATGAAGCTCTTATTTTAGAGCTATATTCAAGAAGACAGAGAAGGTAATGGAAAGTCAATAAAGTAACATATTTTCCATGGTATGAACACAAACATAAAAAATTAAGCAAGAAGGGGGATAGGAATTTTGGTGGGGGACATTGAGTTTATGTAACCTAACTAGAAAATTCTCCCCTAAAAAGGTGTCTGTTGTGGACTGAATATTTGTGTCTACCCAAAATTAATATGTTGAAACTGAATCCCTGATATGATACAGGCCTTTCTATTGCAAGCAAGTAACAGAAATTGATGGGATGTGTAAACAGGAGGAAGAGAACAAGAATAAAATTTTATGATTACCCCAGCGAGTCCTGTAGGGAGAATCAACTTCTGTGCCCCACACCCAGGCCTCTTCCCTCAACCCCCATCTCCTCCCACCCGTGGAGGATGATACCCCATTCCATGGGCAGAAGGAGATGGGGGTTCAGGGAAGAAGGGTGGAGGTTGGGGCACAGAATCTGCTGCTGTATCATGGGAAGCCATGGATGGTACCCGTTTAGAGACTTCTCCATGGAGGTCTTGCTATTATCATTTTTATTTATGATTTAGCCCTCATTTTTTCTTTCGTTCATTAATTGACTACTAAGCCACTGACCATGATTGGACCATGGGCCATGGAATGTCTTATTTTGTAATTAGTAGAGTCAAGCCCATTCATCTACCAGTTGATATTTAATATCTGAAGTACATGCAATTATCATGCTAGGAAAAAAAGAAAATATGTGCCTAATTGTATTTTTATATTTAAAAATTGTTACTTCTTTCTTAGCTCCAGTACTTAAGCTGAAAATTATTAAATTCCTCACTGTCTTATCAACTCTTAATATAACAAATAAAAGGACACTCCCAAGGAAGACTTACCCTGAACTCATCAATAAATCGTAAGAAGCAGCTGTGGGAATCACTTCTATTCTATTAGGGGAATGTAGAATACTGATTTCTTTCTTTTTTTCTAAAAAAAAAAAAAAAAAACAACCTGAAATTCAATTTTCCAAACTGTCCAGAAATTACTCTCAGAATTCAACCATAGGGAAAGGTAAATAAGAAAAAGAATAAATACGTTGCACAATGAAAGAAAAAAAAATGGGATTCCAACCAACAGCATTGACTTTACATTTTAGAGGAAATAAGAGTAATTGAAAAGCACATTTTTTTTTTCAGTGATAAACTGCCAAGTTAAAGCAGCTACATAAAAAGACAAAAGATATAACTCTGGAGACACACCTTGACTGCACATTGATCTTGAAGCCTATAAGACTATCTTCTCAACCACAGGCAAGCTACCATCTTGGAAGTTCCTGGATATCGTTTTTCTTTTTACAGAGAGATCTCATCTTAGGAAACAAAAATATATAAATTAAAAATGAAGGCCAGGCACGGTGGCTCACCCCTGTAATCCCAGCAGTTTGGGAGGCCAAGGCGGGTGGATCACTAGGTCAGGAGATAGAGATTACCCTGGCCAATATGGTGAAACCCCGTCTGTACTAAAAATACAAAAAATTAGCTGTGCGTGGTGGTGGGCACCTGTAGTCTTAGCTACTTGGGAGGCTGAGGCAGGAGAATCGTTTGAAGCGGAGGTTGCAGTGAGCCAAGATCGCACCGCTGCACTCCAGCCTGGCGACAGAGAGAGACTTCTTCTCAAAAAAAAAAAAAAAAAAGAAAGAAAGAAAAAAGAAAAAGAAACCTCACAGGTAACATAAAATGAGTGCTGCTTGCGTTAAAGTTATTCAGGCAATATTTTTTGCTGTGTTGGTTTGTTGGGTTTTCGTTTGTTTTAGCAGTTTCAAACAGAAGCATTCATTCCTCACAGTTTCTGTAGGTCAGTAGTCAGATGCAGGTGACTTACTTGTGTGCTTCGGGCTATAGCGCCCTCATGAGGTTCAGTCAGGTGGGTGTGGCTGTGGATCCAGGTTTATCGGAAAGCTCTACTGGGGGAGACCCAGTTCCCAATGCATTCTGTAGCTTCAGGGCGTTCAATTTCTCACGGGCTGTTGGACTGAGGACCTTAGTTCCCCATTGACTGGAGCCTGGAGGCATCCTTTGGTTTCGAGTCCCATGAACCACTCTGTAGGGCAGCTCGCAACATGGCAGTTGGCTTCCCTCAGAATGAGCGAGTAAGAGAAGGGGGAGTGAGAGAAGAGGCACACAGCATGGAGCCACTGCCTGTTCTTTGCTGCTTGAAGAAGTCTCATTTGCCTTTTCAAACGGAATGAATTCATTAACCAGAGAGCCTTGAACCCATATCACTATTATGTTCGGAACTAATAATGATGAATCTTAGCCATCCATACCCACTTTATTCTATCAAATGTCAGATTCACACCACTGGAGGGATGTGAGCTATTCGTACTTTTGGTGGCTGTCACAGTTCAAGACTTTTAGTTGCTGTCTGATGACTCATTAGGCAATTTCATTTCCAGTTCTCTTTCAATACCTCATGTGACTGTAAGAAAAAAGACTCATTTTAACGCTGGTATATTCATTAAACCTCTCTTACGCTAGAAAATCTTTTTAACAAAGAGGTCTTAGGTAAGGAAATTTGGTAGGCAACCAAATATAGGTAGGATTTAATATTATTTGGGGGGATTTAATAATTTGGAGGGAGGTTTGCTTTTTAAGTGATTCTGATTTTCCATTTCTGGTAGCAGTAGAAAATTTCTTTTTAAATATATTTATTTATATGCAGTCAAAAGCACATAGTCTCAAGACTGCTTTTTGCGTTGAATATTATATTTATGATATACTGCCATTATTATGTATAGTTAGATATCTTTAAATCTCATTATTGTGTATTCTTCCATTATGTAAGTATATTACATTGTATTTATTCTATTGTTCATGCTGCTTTCTTTTCTTTACATGTAGAGCTACTGTGGGCATGCTAGATCATAAATTGCATGTACTTCTAGGTTGTATGTGTACCTTGGAGTGGAGTTGCTGGGTCATAGGATATGCATATGTGCAAGCATTGATAGATATTTCCAAAGAGTTTACTAAAGTGATGTACCGACTACAGGGTATGGGTACAGCAATATAAGGAAACTTTGGTTGCCAGCATTTTGCATATTTGTCTTTTTCGTGTTAGTCATTGTGGTGAGTCTATAGAGATATTGTATTGAATTTCCTTGGTGAAGGTTGAGAACGTATCATGTGATTAGTAGTCATTTGGACAGCCTCTTTGATGAGGAACCCCTTCATAGCATTTCCTCTTTCTTCTATTTGATTGTAAGCAAAGAATCAGTGTAGATGTTACTCTTGGAGGGGAATTGGTGACTGGGAAGGGGTGCATGGTAATGTTCTGTTGCTCGTTCTGGATATGTGGAATTTGTAAAATGTAAGCTGTGCAACTTGTCTGTGTTCTTCTACTTCAAAAACATCTAAAAATTGAAACGGAAATTATTTTTAAGAAAAAATATTGAGTTCACTTCAGGAATAAAACATTAACAACAGGATAGGAAGTTCACAGTTATGAATAAACTCTTGAGTGGCATGATAAAAAAAATATGGTGGGATTACCTAAATCACTGGAGTCTGGGGACCACTGTCTGGGCACTACAGCCCTCATGAGCTCCCGAGCTCATGCTCAGTGAAGCGATGGCGCTAAGTCCCACATGTGTTTGTGGACCATCCTATGCTGCAACATATCTGGAGATGGGGCCTTTGAGAGGGAATTAGGTTTGGATGAGGTCAAGAGGTTGGGGCCATGATGAGGAGATTAGTGCCCTTATAAGAAGCAACAGCAGAAAGCTTGCTCTCTATCTCTCTTCACCGTGTGTGAATAGAGTGACAAGGTGGCCATCCACAAGCCAGGAAGAGAGCCCTCATCAGAAATAGAATTGGCTAGCACCTTTATCTTGGACTTCCCAGCTCCAGAACAATGAGAAATACATTCCTTTGTTTTTTATGCCACCCAGTCTACGGCACATTGTGATATCATCCGAAGCTCACTAATATATCGGGTATACTTAATACGGTCATGTCAGGCAAACAGACTCACAGAAGGTAGGTAAATGGGGGGAATTTTATTTGGGGAACTGGTTACAGAGAGCTGAAATTCAGGCAAGATGATACAACACAGACGTTAATAACCACTGAAAGCCCTAGCACCACAGGGACAATGGGAAAAGATGGTTCTAGCTGAGCCCAGGAGCCGAAGACAATGGGAAGGACTTAGATCCCTGCAGGAGGGAGCATCCCCAGAACTGGAATCCAACTGGAAAGTGTCTAGGTAGGACTAGGCCCATAGAGGGAAGAACCGTCTGATGCGAGATGGAAACGGAGAAGACAGAGCCAGTGCCAGCAGCACTGTCTAGAGAATGGGCTCAGCAATCCCCTGAATTCCCTCATCCTTCTCCCCACCAGTCACCCACCTTTGGCCAAACCTTCCCATATATCAGTGAGCAGAAGAGGCTGAGAAATTTAGCCTACAGGAGTCAAGACCTGTGGCACAGAAAAATCAGTAGAAAGGCAAGTAGTAAATCTGAAAAGAGTACAGTCATAACAACCAAGTGTGTTTCATCCCTATGCCATTTTTATAGAGATAAAAGTCAGGATTTCGAGTACTTTCACATTCCTTCATCGACTCTTGTTTATGCCCCAAATACCACAGAATGAGTATCACATATATACTCTGCTACATGAAAAGGAATTTATGGTCTTCATCCCTCACTTTCCTAACTACATTAAACACTTCTTAGGTTTCTCAGATGATTGGCTTCAGTGCGGAACAGATATGAGCAGAGAGCTGACTCTGGGCATCTCGGCTGAATTACATCCTCTCTGGTGGGAAGGCAGAGCTGGGATCCAGGGAACATATGAAGACTTCGTATGAGCATCTCCTAAACCCTCATCAACCATGTCCATGTTCTCAGGTGAACCCCAGTGTTGACATCACTCCTTGGGCTTACACAATCATCAACCTGTACCAGATGAATGCTCTTCTTCCATTGCGGACTTGATCTTAAGGACTGAAAAATACCAGATGCCCAGTATTAAAAACAGCCTAATATTCTCCCATTTCTCTTCCTATATGGAGGAGTCATAAGTTCTCTGGCTTTAAAGTTTTACAGAACCTTCAGTTTCACAGCTTCCATATGTAATAATTTGGTATATGGTTGCAAAAGAAAATATTAGCCTAAAATGAGGCCAGAAAGATAGAAGAAAGGGAGCTAGAGTCTTACCTTCATTTTTTTTACATTGTAAGACTATGAGAACATCTATTATATTCCCCAGGAAAATATGCATAATTTCACTTTTCTATATTCTTGACTAGACCTGATTATTTTTTAGGAGCAGCCCTCGAATAAACAGCAAACCTTACTGACTGAAAAATTCAAACTCCAACTGCTCACAGGCACCATAGAGAGAATGAGAATGAGAACATACACAGGGTGTGTGGTTGGGGTTCATGTGAATTCTTACCTGTTTTTCTTTAATTTACATATTCCAATTTCCACTCTTTGTGACTTCCAGAAACAGAATGTTATCTGAGCCAATTATCTACGTGCATTTTCTCTTCATCTCTCTCCTGAGCCAAATTCTGATTTAATTTCCACCCATGGTGATATGCAGCCATGTACGTAGGCCAGTTGGGCCCATCACATTTGAATGAATGTGATTAGACAGATGTGAGATGGCTCAATCCCAGATGCTTCCTCTAAGCGCTATTGTGGATGTGGAGAGAAACATTATTGGTTGTACTTTTAATATTCAGCAAATTGTCTCAAAATGGCCCCTAGGCACACATAAGGTTCAGTAGCTGGCTGGCATTCCAATCTCACAGTAAGTGAAATTCTAACTTTAGTAATAAATTAACTTGGGAACTTTGGACATATCTCACAAAATCTGTGAGATATCTGACTATGTCATTTTACCAATATCCACACACAAGTCTAGAACAATTACAATGTACAAACCTAGAAATTTGGGACATCTGGTTTACCAGTTGCTCCGCCTCTAGCTCAGCTTTCAAAGATGCTCCTGTTTACAATTAACGGACATGATTATTTCACGCAGATGGAAGGTCTTGCTGTTGGAGTTAAACATATTTGACTCAATCAATAGAGTTATTGTTCTGGGACCAAAATGTCTCTGACTCATAACCTTGCTTTTGCTCTTCCTATCAAATGAGTGTGATATTAATTTCTAGCCCTGCAGTGGTAGAATCCTCCCAGCAATATAAGAAGACGGAAGAAATAAGAACGTCAGTCAAGCACTCCCTTGACATACCTTTTCATTTTACCAGTCACACCACAGCAGCAGAACAAATATTACAGGCTTGTGTAAAGTGCTATAACTAATCCAATAAATGACAAGAGCCTCCCGTCCTCAGTAATTCTCATTTAGGATGTGTTTCTTCTCTAATAGGTTTCCCTCCAAATGCTTTGTGTCATGAATTCGCTACAGCAAAAACCTTTAAGAATCTGAAATTCACTGGAGCTATCCTGCATTTGCAGCCCAGAAATTACTGGCTTTAGCAGTCTTTGCTCTCTCGGTTTAATCTGAACATAAATACAGATATTTGCTTCAACAGTCGCTAAAGGAAAATTATAACACTGTCAAAAAAACTTGGAGAAGCTGCCTGAAAATGGTGTTCATTTCCCTTTTCTTTCAGCATTCTTCTTTGTTAGCACAACTCAGAGGAGTGCACCAGTAGAGTTACTACCTTTCTTCTTTCAATGACGGGGAAAGCCACCACCATCTGCCACATTTTTTTTCTAAAAGCAAAACCCAAACAGAAAAGGTATTTGCTCTTAGCAAATAATCAAAACGCAGCAAATGGACTGTCCCAACATGGTTGCTTTGCGGGGGTCACCTCTTTGGTTGGCAGTGAAAACCGACTCCTGAAATAAAAAGAAAAATTCAAATGTGACAACCGGTCTTCAGATGTTATCACCTTCAACTCATAAGCACTGAAGGAGAGCTAACTACCTTGCACTTCTTGTCACCTTGGTGGGGCATTGCAGGTTCTGGGAAGAAACTGAGGCCACTGAGGCCTGCTTTCCGAGAAAGAGACCAAAGGCCAGAAATGGAGCTAACAGGAAATAAAGACATATGGTTGTTGTTTCTCCCCTCCCTTCCCTCTCTTCCCCTCCCCTCCTCTTCCCTCTCTTCCCCTCCCCTCCCCTCTCTTTCCCTCCCTCCCCTCTCTTCCCCTCCCCTCTCTTCCCTTCCCCTCCCCTCTCCTCCCGTCCCTCCCCTATCCCCTCCCTCCCCTCTCTTCCCTTTCCCTCCCCTCCCCTTCCTTCTTGCCTCCCCTCTCCTCCCCTCCCTCCCCTCTCTTCCGACTCCCTCCCCTCTCTTTCTCTCCCCTCCCCATCCCTTCCCTTTCCTTTTCTCTTTTCTTGTCTTTTCAAACTTTACATTCGATTCCACCTCTTTACAAGCTCCCATTAGCTTAAGGTCAGATAGAAGTTTGCATGCAAACATAGTAAAATAGGCTTCCATACAGCAAACAACTATCAAAAGGTCATGCTTTTTATTTTCACAGACGTAAAAGCCACCATCAACATTTGCAATGAGAGCAGTGAGATGTAACAGCAACAACTGCTACCAATAAACCTAATAATCGCAAAGATCGCACCTAGTTTGTACCGTGTTATATCCCGGTGCAAGACAGTGACTGCTATAAAGCAGGTGATTGTTAAGTATTTTTTGAATGGATGAATGAACGAAATGTAATTTTGAACACTTCCCCCCCTCTTCCCTTGGTACATATATATAGGTGCTATATTTCCTCTTGACACATCAGTGCCACCATCTTCTTCTAAGGCTGGGCGGTACATTTCCCTGATCTATTTGCCTCTGAGCCTACTGGTCAGAGCTTGGTTTAAGGGGAACCCAGGAGTGATTTGGTAGGCAGAAAGAAGCAGAAGACATCGACCCCTGGACACCATTCTGCCCGGGGGTGGCTTCACCGTCCTCTCCAGGAGCCTCCATGTGTGCTCATGGCAGCTTATGGAGCTTCTTCCTGAGGTCCTGCTTCTCTAGTGCTGCAAGAAGAGATCTGAAATCAACACCTTTGTCTGGAATCTTCCACTGAAGCCTTCAAAACCTCCGTCCCCCAACTCAACCCATATTTGTGTAAGATCTAACTCCTATATTCCTGTAAAACTTGTACTCTCTTTTTCTGACCAAATCCAAATTAATGCTTAAAGATTATATGGATATATAATCTTTATATATATATATGAGGCTTCATACATTGCATTTGAGTAAGATCTTGTCTCAAAAAAAAAAAAGTAGAGAGATATCTGGAGGTGAACTCCAGATATGGTCCAGAAACTCAAATATGGTACCAGGTATTTGTGTGTGTGTGTGTGTGTGTGTGTGTGTCTGTGTGTGTGTGTGTCTGTGTGTGTGTGTGTGTGTGTGTGTGTGTGTGTGTGTATTTGCTGCATAGTTTTTATTTTATCAAAGTCGCTTCCTTAAGAATTCTAACCATAAAATTCTTTCCTGGCTTCTGCTCCCTGGAATTAAATCTTGAGCAGTTTCTAAAAAGATAGTTGGAATTCGTATTGATTAAGGGGAAGAAAAGTACACTGGTGGTATATACCACAGGACAATCATTGGTAATAACCATGAATAATAGCTAGTGTATTACTCTAAATGTGTTTAGCTGCAAGTAGCTGACCAACTACTCAGCAAACATGTCCATGTTCTTTAAGGGTAGAGACATAAGGATTCTTGGCATTTATTTATTATGATATCTGGAGGTGGCCAGGCACAGTGGCTCACGCCTGTAATCCCAGCACTTTGGGAGGCCAAAGTTGGTGGATCATCTGAGCTCGGGAGTTCAAGACCAGCCTGGGCAACATGGTGAAACCCTGTCTCTACTAAAAATACAAAAATTATCTGGGCATGGTGGCACACACCTGTAGTCCCAGCTACTTAGGGGGCTGAGGTGGGAGGTTTGCTTGAGCCCGGGAGGCAGAGGTTGCAGTGAGCTGAGATTGTGCCACTGCACTCCAGCCTGGGCGACACAGTGAGATCCTGTCTCAAAAAAAAAAAAAAAAAAAAATAGAGAGATATCTGGAGGTGGAGGTGAACTCTACATTGGTCCAGAAACTCAAATATGGTACCAGGGTTCCAGGCTCTTTCTGTCCTCCTGTACTCTAACCTCTGCACAGTGGTTTACTTAGAAGGTATGTACCTCATGGTAACATGATGGCTGCCACAGCACCAGACATCAGCTCTTTACACTGTGGCTCTAAATGTGGTAAAAGAAGAGGCTTCATACATTGCATTTGATTTTATCATGGAAAAAAACAATCTTCCAAGAATTCCCAGTGGGTCTCTCTTTGTCTCTCAGTGGCTAGAACTGGGACCCATGCCCCATCCCTAGCCCAAGCCTTGGCCCAGGGCAATAAAATGCCATTAGTGTTTTCGATTGCTCATGACAGCTTCCCTGGGACTGCCCATCCCCATGTGCATCTGGTAATGTCAGAAACAAAGTGGGGGATGTGTACTTCTGAAGCTTCACATGGCAAGCCAGATGGTTTTCAGTGTGGTGTAACTGAAACTTAAATAACACGTAAGAGCACAGTAATGAAGTGGTTCCTTTCAGATACACAGTGGGCTTTTCTGATTACCTTGAGTAGGAAGGCTCAGTCTGTTGTTGCTTCTGTGTCTGTAACATCAATCTGACACTTACTAACCTTTCTTTTTACCAAGAGGAAGCAGGACTCAGCCTCAAAGCAGTAAGCAGACAGAGAATCTAAGCAAAATGTTTTGCCTTTTTTACATTTATTCTATAATTGTCTTCTACTTACAGTAAGTGATCGCGGTTTTCCATTTGTAGTGCAGCTGTCATTTCCTTTTAAAATATATGTATCAGAGTTAAATAGGCATGTTTAAAGATAATTTTAAGTAAATAACATAAATATCATTATATATTATACTGTGGTAAATACTGCATTATGGCAAATATGACAAAAGTCATGAGCAGTGCATAAAATGCTGAAGATTAGTCAATTTTATCTTTAGGAAGAGTGAGAAAGAAAGTGTGAGAACAACAGGAACTTCCAGAATTCCCTAGAACCTACATGAGAAACATGAACACTGCATCTAGGTTAATTTCTCAGGAAAAATAATGTATGGAAATCTAAGCTCTTTGCATGGAGTTTCTTCTCTGTGACACCACCCTGTTAGTCTGACGAAAATCCACAAGAAAATCCCCAGTCGTAATAAATGTGCTTGTTAAAAGATATGTATTATTTCATCATTCTTTAAATGCTGTGTTGGCATTTCTCATTGGCATTCTAACTGGTGGTTGTTGCCACAATTACTTTTATTTCTGAAAATAAGCTGAGATATCCAAGGTCATGATTAACAATGTACTGATTCCTTGACTTTAAATTTCGTACTAAAATGACAGAGGAGTCCACAATCGTCTGTGTGTGTGTGTGTGTGTGTGTGTCATAGTGACTAAACCTCCATTGAACTAATTTATGCTAGGTAGCAGCAATACCCTCTAAAACTCTCTGTTTTGGTCTAAATAGTTCACATGTGCTCAGTGTTACTAAAAAATGTCAGTTCTGTTCACTGTATTATAAATGTGTTTGCCAAAATGTGGATCTTCCCCGTGGGGTATGTGCAGTGTGATTTTAGGTGGTCCCAGACAAAATGTTAGAACACAGAATCACAGAGTGATATGGTTTGGCTCTGTGTCCCCACCCAAATCTCATCTTGAATTGTACTCCCATAATTCCCACATGCCGTGGGAGGGACCTGGTGGGAGATAATTTGAATCATGGGAGCAGTTTCCCCCTTACTGTTCTCGTGGTAGTGAATAAGTCTCACTAGATCTGATGGTTTTATCAGGGGTTTTCACTTTTGTGTCTTCCTCATTTTCTCTTGTCGCCGCCATGTAAGAAGTGCCTTTTGCCTCCCGCCATGATTCTGAGGCCACCCCAGCCATGTAGAACCACAAATCCGATTAAACTTCTTTTTCTTCCCAGTCTCGGGTAGTCTTTATCAGCAGCATAAAAATGGACTAATACACGGACTGAGATATTTTATTTCATTTTTAGTTATTTTTCAACCCTTCCCATTATAAAAAGGAAAACAATTTCATTTAAGGACAGAAAGCTTTACCATTTCTAACACTTGCTATCTATTTTCAACCCAGAAAGGCCTGGCCTCAAGCCCAAAACCACAGGCAGGATTCAGATTCTAACCCAAAACACGTGCATATATGTGTGTGTCACAGTAGCTTTTTGTGTCACTACAGCTAGCAGAATCCCCACCAATAACAACTTTAACAACATATGTTTAATTCCCCACATGAGGGGCAGCCTGCAGCAGGCAGCCCCAGGGTTTTTCAGCAGCTGGAAGATGCCAAGAGTATCTGACTCTGTCTCTGCAATTCTGCTGGCCTTTCTCCAAGTGGCTATAAAATGGGCAAGTTCAGACATCAAACTCTGAGACACTGGCCTCCCAAACATGAAGCAAGATGGGTAGGGTCACTTCTCCCTTACCCCAGGAAAGGCTTTTTCCTGGAAAGACTGGCTTTATCTGAATGTTCTTACCCTGCTCTGACCTTACTTTTGTCTAAGGGTTCAGGACTCCAGCTTGTGCCCAACCATGGTCCAGTCACGGGCAAAGCGGGGTGGGGTCACGGTATTTCAGGCCAACTCTGACCCATGCCCCTGAGTGGTCAGGGCAGCAGTTTAGGCCCATTCCATCAGTACCCCTGGGTTGACAGAGATAAGAGAGACCCTTGGTTGAATACCAAGGGTCCACCCAGGTAGTATCTCCTGTCGCCGTTAGAAGCAAACTGAATCCATCCCAGAGAGCAGAGAAATGCTGTTGTCTAGAAACTTCCTCAGTGGCACGCTGTGAATCTGATATTGTCTTTAATATGAAAAGTGCAACAGCCATTCTCCAAGACAAAACATGGCTCATTCCTGCATCAACATAGCAACCTCCACCTCCCAGGTTCAAGTGATTCTCCTGCCTCAGCCTCCCAAGTAGCTGGGATTACAGGCACACACCACCACGCCCAGCTAATTTTTTGTATTTTTAGTAGAGATGGGGTTTCACCATATTGGTCAGGCTTGTCTCAAACTCCTGACCTTGTGATCCATCTGCCTCAGCCTCCCAAAGTGCTGTGATTACAAGTGTGAGCCACCACGCCCAGCCTGGCACACAAATCTTAACTGTAGGGTAGACATCTTCTTGTTATCCTTTTACCTAACTTAAGATTTCATGTTAACAAGAAAGACTAAGTTCTTCTGGGGGAGTAGACATGTGCCTGGTAAGTTGGAGTATGAACAAGCATCAATTAATGCTACAGATTCCCTCTTTATGGAGTCTTATGCGTCTTTTACAAAGAAAATGCCAAGGAGGGCTCAAAAGTTCAGCTAAATCTCTTTAATGCTAATCAATTAAGGGAAACAAGACTATGTTTATTAACGCTTGAATTATCAAATTTTGTAAAAAAAAAATGATTTGTACTGTCGTGTATAGTAGCCATGGTAATTCAAATAAGATTGACCAACATTGACAAACAACCCTTTTAATAATTAGATAAGAATGAATCTCCATTAGCCGTTTGGGGCCATATTAATGGGGACCTGTTTGTATGTTTTTTGTGTGTTTATTTTCCTGTAAGAGGTTATAATATTTGTGCTCCTTGCGCTTGCATATGCTGTTACTTCAGACTTGCTTACCAAGTGTTTGGTGAATGAACTTATAACTTGACCCTCTTAATTAACAGGGATTTAATATCTGGGGCACCTGACTCTATAGGCTGATGGCATGCTGGGCAACAATGAAATTGGTGATTTTAAGAGAAATGTAGCCAGCTCATAGGCTGCCATTCCTGAGCACTGACTGTGCCTGCACTTGCCCTGAGATCACCACTACATTTGCCCATTTGCCATCAGAACCACCATGAGGTGGGCAGCCATGACCCCCCCACAGATGGGGTCTCTCTACATAGGAGGCATCACACTGGACTCAACCTTGCCATGGTCCCTCATCCTCCATCCTCCCTCTTCCCTGACCCACTGGTTCCCCCTTTTACACCCTAAAAGACCAGTCAGGTCCCTGAGATCTCCACCCAGCATTGGGCCAGGTCCACCAGAGGCTGAAGCTAGTGTTTGCTCCTGTTTCTGGAATCAGGTTTCTTGGCCAGGTCTTGGCAGCTGAGGTCACACAGGCCTGGGACTGAGTCCTCCTTTGGTTATGAAGGAGAGTGACTCAACTTCCCATGCCTCAGCCTTCTCATTTATAAAACGGGAATCATAAAGACCCCCTCTTCACAGGGTCCAGGAATCAGTGCTGCAGGTGAGGCCTTTCACAGAGCACAACACGACAGGCACCCTTGTGGATTGTGTGGGCAACGCCATTTTACTCCATGGCCCCAGAGCCTGGAGCTCTGCAGGAAGCTCCCCATGAGCTGCAGGAAGCAGCATTTCTGATTGGGCTTCTGCCATGGGCCTGCTCCAGGTGACCCTCTTCCAAATGGCAGCTGTCTCTTGAGTCTCTTGGTTTACCCAACCCAGGAGAGAGGCAGGAGTGGCATATGTTTCAGGAAGATGGAGTCCTGGGGAGCAGGTGTGAGGGGTAGGGGGATGGCAGTGCACCTGGAGCCCAGGCCATGACACAGGTATGAGGGTAGGGGGATGGTGATGCACCTGGATCTGAGGCCATGACACAGGTGTGAGGGTAGGGGGATGGTGGTGCGCCTGGATCTGAGGCCATGACAGATGTCCCCTCAGGTGCTGCCTCCAGGACACAGACCCAGTATCTCCTGTCTTCTGTATTTTTCACAAGAGGCCAAAATTTGGAATTTTCATTTGCATATATGAGAGCTTCTAATTTTGTTAAACCATGACTTTTTAAAGTTGTTTCTGGCCCGGGCTCAGTGGCTCATGCCTGTAATCCCAGCACTTGGCAGGCTGAGGCAGATGGATCATGTAAGGTCAGGAGTTCAAGACCAACCTGGCCAAAATGGTGAAACCTCGTCTCTACTAAAAATACAAAAAATTAACTAGGTGTGGTGGTGGGCGCCTGTAGTCCCAGCTACTCAGGAGGCTGAGGCAGGAGAATTGCTTGATCCCAGGACGTGGAGGTTGCAGTGAGCCGAGGTCACACTACTGCACTGCAGCCTAGGTGACGGAGTGAGACTCCGTCTCAAAAAACCAAAAAAAGTTGTTTCTGAACAGTTTGAACACAACAGGTCAGCATGCTGCATTCAGGCCTCTGTTCTCCTCCACACAGCAGTTCTGCACAACCTTGTCCTTTTGACTGACAGCTCCAGCCCAGCCCTGCCAGGAACTCTCCCCACCCCACCTCATTGCTTTACTGGTCCCAAATCCCTTCCCCAGCCTCATCAGACCTGAAGATCCTTCCAGAAGGAATGGAATCTAGTAAATGAATTAATATCAGAGATGATGATGGATGAAGCTTAATCATTGGCCCCTCTCTGGAGAAACAAAAATTAAAAACCTTTTTCTGGAGCCGCCTCTTGAGTGTCCATCCACAGGTCCCCTTCTCTTTCCTCCTGATTGACCAAGCTCACATCCCAGAATAGATACTGAATAAAGATTCACTTTCCCAGGTCCTCTGGAGATGACAGGTGACCCAATATTGTCCAGGCAGACCTAAGAAAGACACTAATTGAGGCTTATGTAAAGCTTTTTCCTGACAAAAAATAAAAATAAAAAAAAGTAAAACTTGCCAGTTTTCTGCCTCTGAATGTAAGTAAGCAGGTGATGATATGCTGTGAGAAGCTCCAGCAGCCATTCTGTGACCATGAGGAGACTAGACCAAGGATCAACCAACATGCAGTGGGTACAGCAGAAAGATAGAAAGAACTGGGTGCTTGGAGACCTGGGAGATGGCTGAACAAAACCTGAAATTTCCTAGCTTTAGCTTCTTGTCATGTGAATTAATCTTTCTTGTTTAAAATCTTCTAGTTGAATATTCTATTATAATGAGGTAGTGTCAAATGATTCACAAAGGACCTGAGATACTAAAATGTGAAATTGTGGGCTGGGTGTGCAGTGACCCATGCCTATAATCCCAGCGCTTTGGGAGGCCAAGTTGGATGGATTGCTTTAGCCCAGGAGTTCAAGAGTGGCCTGGGTAACATGGCAAAATATTATCTGCACGAAAAATAAAATAAAATAAAATAAAATAAAATAAAATAAAATAAAATAAAATAAAATAAAATGCAAAATGTAGAGCACCACCTATGTAAGTTAAATATGAAATTGACCTCCGTATGGCAGCACTGACTTTTCCGGTGTAATTTCCCGATGGCATCTGCTACCTGTGTGAGTCTCTGTGAGTGCTGGTGTGTGTTGTCATGACACAACCTCACAAAAGTGAACAGGCACTCTTACGCTTTTATTCACCATTCAGGCTCCTGCCTGGAATTAATGAAGTGGATGGTTTCAATGAAAAAAGACTGCCAGATGCAGAGAGAGCCACAGCTTTGTGAAAATGAGGGGGTGCAAGAATCTGGCTGACTTCCTTCCATCCTGCGTGGCCGGTGTAATCACTCTACACCATCTGTCGGAAGTTCATATGGAAAATTGTCACAACGAGCTTTCTTTTGTCAACCTCATAAATGGTCCTATTTAAAAAAATTCCAAGCTTCCTTAGGCAACTGTAAGCAAATAAATAATTGTTTTTCACTTCAAAACTATCCATCTTTTCTCAAACCCCCAGCTACCATCAAGCCCCCTAGACATTTTCCATGTCATAACCCTCCATCTGCAGCTGGGTCTCCTACTGCACCCACGGTAGGCTACTGCACTGACCGGAATTCCATTTGTCTTGGTTTTACTGCCTGATAAAAGTAGAGATTGCATTAAACAAAGACTCCATGACAGACTGAGAGCATACAATTTAGAGATTAAATGGGCCAGATTTTAGATGCCCAAGGTGTTTACGGCAACGAGCAGAGTCAAAATAATTAGAAAATGATGCACGGCCTACCACAAACCATCTCTCATCTGAACAGCTGATCGTCACCCCCACAATGTTCCAGATGTGTGTGTTTTCTTCAATAATGGGGAGTTAAAAATAACCCTCTCAGTTCCTCCAAATGATGTATGGCAGGGCCACTGCCATCAGGCATTCTGCAGAGGGGAGCCTCCTCAGTTACTATAGAAAGGCTTGAGAATAAAATAAATATAACCATGTGCTCATCATCCAAATGAAATTTTAATTAATTCAGAACTTGTTCCGAAAGCTTTCCAAGACAACTCATGCTAATGAGCTCTCTGCACTCTTCTTCCTCCAGTTTATGATGTCATGCTAAATGGGCTGCATCTACCAATGTTGATGAGATGAAAATCCATTCATTCTGGACTGAGGTTTGAGTATAGTTTTAGGACCTGCTGAAACACCTCAATTTCCCTTCTTCAAAACCCAGGGCCTCTTCTCTCTCTTTCCTTGTTGGGCTGAGATTGATGGCTTTTGTAAAAGCTTTCGGCGCTTCATGGGAAGAATCTCAACTCAATGCATTGGCTTTGGGGCATTAACCAATTTCCGTACTTAAAACAACTACCCACCAGCCCTTCCTCCAGCCAGCATTTTGTGCATGGGTGACACCAGCAGTGAGACAGAATTATCTGCTGTTCTTAACCACACAGCCTGGCCACTTCATTGTCTATGGGTCAAGGGCAGCAAGGTGTCATCACCTTGGGGTGAGTACAGATCTGCCAGGCTCATCAAATCACATGCATTTGGTCTCTCCACTCAGAAAATAAATGCCAACTCCTACCTCATCTTCCCCAAGAGCCTTGAAAAAGTCAAATGAGATGAGCTGTGTACTCTGTGCACTAAATAATGTGTATACACAGACACAGAATGTGGAATAATTGTCACTGGAGACTCGAAGGGAGGAAGGATGGGAGGGAGATGAGGGATGAGAAATTACTTAATGGGGACAATGTACATAACTTAGGTGGTGATTACCCTAAAATCCCAGACATCACCACTGTGCAATATATCCATGTGACAACACTGCATTTATGCTCCTTAAGTGTATACAAATTTAAGAAAAAATGTTAAGTAGCTTTCATATTTGAATGAACACCTCTAACTTCCATCATGTTGGGTTCCTATGGACCCTGGAATTGTGAGACCACACAGGGAGAGGAGGAGCCAATCCCAGCTGTGCTGCCCCTCACCGGAATGGGAGCACCGAGGGCAGGATAGACCAGGGGAGGGAACATGGATAATGATTTCGACACCCTGGTGCTGTTGCTAGGCATTACCTTTTCACATTTCCTCCTAAAACCACAAGGATCTGATATACTGAGCATAAAACCCACAGCATGGGACAAAATACAACTTTTCTTTCAAATTATCCAATTCTAGACATGTGAGCAGGCAAGGACACCTGCATGTGATTGAGGAAGCCCCTGATGGACAGTCACTGTTCCCGGGGTGAGCTCTGGGGATGCGGGCCTGCACTCATCCGGACAATCCAGGAGGAGGCGCTACACCAAGAGTCAGCAGCCCTTTTTCTGTAAAGGGCCTGAAAGAAAATACAATAGGCTTCATGGTCTGTGCAGTTTCTGGCACAATTGCCCAATTTGGCTCTTGCAGAGTGAATGGACATGGCTGTGTTTCGTTAAAACTTTATTTACACAAATAGGTAGCAGAGGAAGGAAATCAATTCAAGAGATGTTTAAGAGACAAAATAACAGTTTGCAAACCAAAGACATATGACAGTATGAATAATGTCCTTAACTAGCTAATGCCCACACAAGAAAAAAATTAGATATTATCTCTATTACAGTCCATTTCACACATCTTTCATAAAAACAAAACAAGGGAATATTTCCCAACTATGGATGCCAGATCATTAGTGGGTCATTACATTGATTTATTGTCATTTTTATTTTTTTGAGACAGACTCTCATTCTGTCTCCCAGGCTGGAGTGCAGTGGTACAATCTCTGCTCAGTGCAACCTCTTCATCTCAGATTCAAGCAATTGTCCCTGCCTCAGTCTCCTAAGTAGCTGGGATTACAGGCACATGCCATCACGCGCAGCTAATTTTTCGATTTTTTGGTAGAGATGGGGTTTTGCCATGTTGGCCAGGCTGATCTTGAACTCCTGATCTCAGGTGATCTGCCCGCCTTGGTCTCCCAAAGTGCTGGGATTAGAGGTGTGAACCACCATGGCCGGTCCATTCCGACGATTTAGTGGATCACAACTTTCAAATTAAAAAAGATAAAATAGTCCAATAGTAATAAAATCACATTTGATATAAAATAAAACTTTTATTTTCATATAATAGTGAGGGAAAATATTTTCTATATGACTTCTTTAACTTTATGCATATACGTGTGTGTATGATATATGAAATGTATATTTTTCTTTGGGCCATCATCAATAAAGTTGGAAAAACACTGATATAATTGAAAGAACACAGAACTAGGAAATGGAAAGACTAGACAGGCTTTAATCTAAATTGTACTATTTGTTAGATTTGGATCTATATTTAACATCTCTAGACTTTACATGTCTTATTTGTAAAATTGAACCTTTCATTTATATTCTTAAAAATATATTTACTATGCACCCGCTATTAATCAGGCACTGTTCTAGGCTCTGGACATACATGGATCAACTAGACAGGCCCCACTCTAGGAAGCTAACAACCTACCTGGGGAGAGACATAAATAAACAAGTAAGTGGGTAAGCAGAGAAGAGGACGGGCTGAATGCTTATGGGGATGGGCACTGCTTCAAAGAGAGAGGTGAAGGAAGGCCTGGTAGGAAAGGGAGTGGCTATGAGAAGGTCCAAGGGGGCCTCTGGTGGTGAAAAAGAGCAAGGAGATTGCTGAGGGTGAATCTGGGCTCAGAGAGGTGAAAAGTCTTGATCACGTTCACCGGGGCCTGGTGGTAACTTGAACACAGGCTTTCCAGGCCAAATCTCAAATTCTACATCACTAGGCTTCTTCATTATGAATATGCTTCTTAAAATTGCATTTCTATATGCAAGCTGCTAGAAAGTTTCAAAGAAATGGTAGCACACCTAACTTTTGAATGCAGGTCTGGCTACCAGAGGCCACATCTCTCCAGCAATCAAGCTCAGTTGATGCCTTGAGGTATGGCCATTGCAACAAGGACTCTTGATCTCGCCTTCTCAAGCAAGTGCTTTTCTGATTAAAGAAGCATAAACAAAACCCCAAGCCATAGGTGCTGATTCTCCCCTGTGCAAATATCACTTGTATCAATCTCCAACTATACAATAGGCCTACATATGATACCAATACAAAACCTGCCTGTTCCAAGAAAGGAACTCACTCCATTACACTCAGGCATCAAGTCCATGATCTGAGTCTATTGCTTTGGAGCATCTGATGTCTGAAGTGGTGTGGGAGCCCTCTGTCCCCTAGTAACAGGTGGTGGAAGGCAGAATAACAGTCCTCAAAGATGTCCATGCCTAATCTCCAGAACCTTTGAATATGTTATCATACATAACAAAGGAGACTTTGCAGAGGTGACTATGTGAAGGCTCTTGAGATGGGGAGATTGTCCTAGATTATCAAGGTGGACTTATTATCATCCTAAGAGTCCTCGTGAGTAAAAAGTGAGAGGCAGGAACGTCAAAGAAGGAGATGTGATGATGAAAGTAGACAATGAAAATGAGAGCTTTGAAGATGCTTCACTTTGGCTTTGAGGATGAAGGAAGGGACCATGAGTTAAGACATACTGGTGGCATTTAGAAGATGAAGATGAAAAAGTTAGGGAAATTGATTCTCCCCTGAAGCCTTCAGAAAGAATGCAGCTCTGTCAACACATGGATTTTAGTCCAGTAACACCCATTTTGGGCTTCAGATTTCCATAAATATAAGAGAATGCATCTTTCTGAATCCTTGAGTCTGTGGCATTTTGCTTTAGCAACAATGAGGAACTAATACACTGATCCAGGACCCTGATCACGAATGGACACAAGGCAGGGCCATTACAGACGCCCATCCTCCAAACCACAGTGATTGGTCCGAGGATGGGCACATGACCCAAGCTGAGCCATTCAGAGTCCTTCTTTGTGGTTTTTCTTTCTGAGCCTGACGGCAAAGACTCTTCTGTCCTTTCTGAAAGGTGAAACCTTTCCCATGTGAGCCTATAGTTGTCAGAAGTTGTATTTCCTATGGCTTAGCAAAGGCCAGTCTGCAACTGCAGTGTAGAGACTGATTCAGAAAGAGGAGAGGAAGGAGAGGAGGAAAAGGAAGAAAGATTCTAAATGCTGTTTGAGCCCAAGAACAAAGTTCTTCTCACACTCAGCCCTGTCTGTTTCTAGTGTAGTTAGGATACACAATGCATCTCTTTCTCTCCTCTCTCTCTCTGTGTTTCTTCCTTTCTTCCTTTATTTATTCATTCATTCCTTCCTTCCGACCTTCTGCATGTCTTGGCTGGATTTTCTTCAACTGCAGTCAGAGAATTAACGAATTTGAAGGGTTTACCTAAACTTGTTATTCCTCTTGGGGAAACTGAGCATTTCCACACATAGTTTAAAGACAAATTAAGTCTCAACGTGAGATCCCATCTCCTTCCAAGAGGGGTTGCATGTACTCTGGTTGCTTCTCAGTCAATATCTTGAATAATAGACAAGTTCAGAAAAGGTTAAAGTAAAAGGAAATGATATGTTCTTTATCTTTTTGGAGAACTAAAGCCAGAGGCAAAGCTCTGAGCAGAGAATCATTAGAATCAGAACTAGGAAGAAAGACAAAATTTCATGGGGGACCAGGAGCCCAGGAATAATACCTGCTCTTCCTGGTAAGGTCTGTTATCAAGAGACAGAACAATTCGATGCCAAGCTACTTGAGTTCCCATTCTAGCTTCATAGCTTAGGAATGAGAAAGTGGGCAAAATATTTCACACATCATGCTCCAGATCCACATCTGTAAAGCTGGCTAAGAAAATATTTATTGCCGAAGAAGATTGTGATGATTAATAGGTTAACACACATAGAACGAATAGAAAGACGCACACATGGTCTGCTCTTCTAAAAGCCTCAACCTTTGCATAATGGCCCTCATTTCCTGCTCCTGACCACACATCACGCACCGCCCCCCCGCTCACCTTTTTGTTTGTTTGTTTGTTTTTCGAGACAGAGTCTCACTCTGTCACCCAGGCTGGAGTGCAATGGCATAATCTTGGCTCACTGCAACCTCTGCCTCCTGGATTCAAGTGATTCTCCTGCCTCAGCCTTCCAAGTAGCTGGAATTACAGGCACATACCACCATGCCTGGCTAATTTTTGTATTTTTTAGTAGAGACGGGGTTTCACCATGTTGGCCAGGCTGGTCTTGAACTCCTGACATCAGGTGATCCGCCTGCCTTGTCCTCCCAAAGCACTGGGATTAAAGGGGCAGCAGATCTTCCCCACAGAGTGAGACAGCCCATTGCTAGCAGAAATGGGCAGACCTATGTGGGAGCGTGACTCTTCTCTTTTGCCTTTTATAATCTGAACAGCTGCCAAGCTGGGGGATGAACAGGGTGGCCATTAGCAGCAAACTCTATCTTCTCAGAAGACGCCATCCAAATAAAGAGTTAGAAGATGCCATTCAACATAAACACTTTTTCACTTAATTCACTCTGGAGTTGCGCAACAGGAGAGCATATTCTGCCCCTTGTCCTGGTTCTTCTGCCTAGAAAATCAAATATTGCTTCCCTAGGCAGCCATCCTTCCTCTCATTATGCCCCATGCTGGGAAATTCATTGCTCCAAGACACTTGATTTCTTGAGCAGATAATGATTTCCAAAACTAAGGAAAGGAAAACACTCACTTTTGATGATGTTTGAGGATATTTTTTCCTTTTATTCCTAATATGTTGACAATGCACCTCTCTTTATAGACTCTCTGATACACTCGTTGTGAAAACACTGTCATAAAAGTGAATTGTGGTTGCTGTAAATTGTGTTATGGCAAGGTTAGGAACCACAGATTTTAAAAAGTGCCTCCCTATCTGACCCCCCCAGCTTTGAGCACCAGTCCTCTCTGAGTGGATGCCCTGCAGGGAATCTCTGGTCACAGCATGGGGTGATGTTATGTTAGTTTGTTTAGTTCTCATGGGAAAGGAAACACATGGGCACAATATCAGATGCTGGGCAGCCACCCTGCATCCTCCATCCCACCCACACCTCCTCCTCCAGCACTTGGCCTGCAACCTTCCTCCCCTGGTCTGCTTCTCTGTGGGGTCAGAGCTCCCAATTTGTGGAATCTATTGTTAAATAGCAACTCTTTTTTTTTTTTGTTTTTGTTTTTGTTTTGAGATGGAGTCTCACTCTATGGCACAGGCTGGAGTGCAGTGGCATGATCTTGGCTCCCTGCAACCTCTGCCACTTGAGTTCAAGAGATTCTCCTGCCTCAGCCTCCCAAGTAGCTGGGACTACAGGTGCACACCACCACATCCGTCTAATTTTTATGTTTTTAGTAGAGACAGGGTTTCACTATCTTGGCCAGGCTGGTCTTGAACTCCTGACTTCATGATCCACCCGCCTCAGCCTCCCGAAGTGCTGGGGTTACAGGTGTGAGCCACCACACCCAGCCTCTTTTTCATTTTGTCTATGTTTTTTTTCAAAGCAACCAAAACATATTGAATGGGTGAGATGTAGCCAAATTATTTTTCATAATTTGAATTTCAAGACGTTTCTTTACATTTTGTGACCCACCCTCTGTAACAATGTAACCCTGTCTAAAGCCAGGTCATCTCACTTCTCTGGAGCACAACATTCACCTTCTGCAAAGTGGGACTGTAACTTCTCACTCAAATCCACCCAATATTTTCTCAAGGAAGATGTGCAGCATCATTTCTTAATAACAGAGGAGAAGGGGATGACATATTTAATCTTGGAATTTATTCCAAGCCCCTGCCTAACCCTTTTTCCTAAGAACTCCACTGGAGCCCTGAATACGCAAACAGAGTGAGAGTGTGGGGTCGGTGAGTATTCAGTCACTCAAAGTGCGATCAAGGCTTTAAGAAGGATTTATGAGTCCACTCATCAAGATTCTATCCATTGCAACTGTCCACAATAGCAAAGACATGGGATCAACCTAAATACCCATCAATAGTAGACTAGATAAAGAAAATGTGATACATATACACCATGGAATACTATGCAGCCATAACAAAGAATGAGATCATATCCTTTGTGGGGACATAGATCGAGCTGGAGGCCATTATCCTTAGCAAACTAACACAGGAACAGAGAACCAAACACCACATGTTCTCATTTATAAGTGGGAGCTAAATGATGAGAACACATGGACACACATAGGGGAACAACACACACTGGGGCCTTTCAGAGGGTGGAGGGTGGGCGGAGGGAGAGGATCAGAAAAAACAACTAATGAGTACTAAGCTTAATACCTGGGTAGGGAAATAATCTAAACAACAAACCTCCATGACACAAGTTTACCTATGTAACAAACCTGCATATGTGCCCCTGAACATAAGAGTTAAAATGTTCATCTCTTCTAAGTTAAAACAAAAAAAAAATTCTATTCCTGCTGCTTCAAAAGGCAAAACAAGCACCAAAATTGACCACAAAGAAGTTCTCTCTTAACATCCATAGAAATGAAAACAATGTAGGATTTATTTTCCAAATAAGTCCTGCTCTGTCTCCTTTCTCCAACTTCCTTGGGAGTTACCAACCATCTCATAGAAGGACAGCATTTCTTAGGATGCCCTGTCTTCTGGGAGGCATTTCCATCCTGAGACCTCCTAGCTCCCACCTCAGGCAGGGTGGATCCATCTCCTTTCCCTTAAAACACACAAGGAGCCCCATGTAGACAAGTCCTGACAGCACCTGCAACTCCACAAGGATGATGCATGGAGGGAAGCTCACACCTGCCATTGGTCAGTGTCCTGTATGCCACCTCCTGTTGTCTCCAGCCCACTCCATCCTCTTCCCCAACACCAACAACACAGATTCACACAATCACGTGTTTTGGTGTGTATGTGCATTTCCTACACTGGCCACTTTTCTCATCACATGTGTTGCTTTTCAAAATTTTCTTTAGCTGGGCATAGTGGGACACCCCTGTAGTCCTATATACTTGGGAAGCTGAGGCGGAAGCATGGTTTGAGCCTAGGAATCTAAGGCTGCAGTGAGTCGTGATTGTGCCACTGCAGTCCAGCCTGGGTGACAAAGCAAGACTCCGTCTCTAAAAAGAAATAAATAAATAACTTGTTTATGACTCTTTGCTGCATCTTTCTTTTTAGGTAGCTCCTTTAAAAATATTCCAGATAGATCATCTTTTGCTCCATCAACAGGTGATGCAGTGGCTCTGCATGGGTGTCCCCTCTGAGGCTGGGTGATATGGTTTGGCTGTGTCCCCCCCAAATCTCATCTTGAATTGTAGCTCTCATAATTCCCACACTGATATGATTTGGCAGTGTCCCTACCCAAATCTCATCTTGAATTCCCAAGTGTTGTGAGAGAGACCTGGTGGGAGGTAATTGAATCATGAGGGTGGGTCTTTCCCATGCCATTCTCCTGATAGTGAATAAGTCTCATGAGATCTGATGGTATTACAAAGGGGAGTTTCCCTGCACAAGCTCCTCTCTTTGCCTTCTGCCATCCACATAAGATGTGATTTACTCCTCCTTGCTCTCTGCCTTGATTGTGAGGCTTCCTCAGCCACACAGAACTGTAAGTCCAGTTAAACCTCCTTCTTTTGCAAATTGCCCAGTCTCAGGTAAGTCTTTATCAGCAGTGTGAAAACAGACTAATACACACATGTGTGGGAGGGACCCAGTAGGAGTTAATTAAATCATGGTGGCAGTTTCCCACATTCTGTTCTCATGGTAGTGAATAAGTCTCATAAGATCTGATGGTTTTATAACGGAAATCCCTTTCACTTGGCTCTCATTCTCTCTTTGCCTGCTGCCATGTAAGGCATTCCTTTGCTCTTCCTTCATCTTCTGCTGTGATTGTGAAGCCTCCACAGCCATGTGGAACTGTGAGTCAATTAAACCTCTTTTCTTTATAAATTAGCTAGTTTTGGGTATGTCTTTATTAGCAGCGTGAGAACAGAATAATATACTAGGTCTGTCTCCCTGTGGATCCCCAATCTTCCCCACCTCATAGTTTTCCAGACTGTTAAGCCTAATTTCTTTAGATAAAAGCTTTACAGTCTGCTTCAAATGCAAGGATGGGCAGAGACTTCAACAAGTTCACTCCCAAGGTTAAAAGCATATTGGAAAATAAATCACCATTTTATAACTTTTGTAAGAACATTATTAATGCCTTTTTTTCTTAGAGAAGTTATAGACAGGTTGCACTTATCTGAGTGGAGGGACCACAAGTTATTCATGGGTTTATCCCTACCAGGTGTGCCATAGTGCTTCGCTCTTAGAAAAGGCTGAAAATGTTGATTGTTGAATGAATGAGTGGGTGAATGTTATGAAACAGAAATGAAAATAAAAATACTCTGTGACCCAGAGCACAAGAATAACAACAACAAGAGCAACAGCACAGTAAAAAAAAAAAAATCACATAAAAATACCCATTTATTTTCTAAATGCTGTGAAAGAGAATGTTATTATATGTCATTCTGAGATTGAATGGAAAAAAATGTTTTCTTCATCTGAAACTCAGCTACGGGACAGATTATGGACAATTCAGTGATTTCCAAATCTTATTATTACCCAGGGAGTTTTCTAAAAAAACTATAATTTCTAGGGCTCTGCTTCAGACCAACTAAATTAGACTCTCTAGAGAACAAGGTCATGTAATTTCCATTGAAATGAAAAAGTATTTTCAGGTGGCTGCAATTCAGAAATCCTGGTCTGTTAATGGGATATGACATCCTAAGACAGAAGACCTGCTTGGATTTTTGTTTCCAACACTAACTACCCATGTGACTGGAGTCTGTCTGAAACTATTTTGTTCTTATATCTTGTAAAAGAAAACATTGACCTGCCTTTGCCAATCTCACATCTATGTAATCAGGATAAAATAAGTCCCAGTGGTCTTTCTATGAATTGCAAAGAACTATGGAAGAAGGTCTCTGTTGTTGTCTATGGTTGGAAGGCGGGCTGAGGGGGAATCCCTTATACACAAAATTAAAAGTAGGAAAAATTGTTCTTTATCTGAGGCCATGGGTCCCATTTTTGTGTTCTAAGAAGGCGTGAGCAAGAGAAAGTGAAGAGCAAGGAAAGCAATCCTGGAATGGGTGACTCTACTTAGGGTAGTATTTGTTTAATTTCATTCCAGTTGGCTCCTTTATTTCCACAGTTGCTTCAATCCTGAAAAACACATTCAGTTGGCAGTTTGCATCCTCTCTGGAGCCTCCTCTGGATTTATTCCTTCCAAATCCATCACTTTCAATGATCTCTTTGACTTCTAGGTGGAGCATTTTAAGTGGCCCTAACATCCCTCTCGAAGGTTCACTCCTTCTAGGGTCTTGCAAGGCAAGACTGGACAGTGCCCCTTTGTCTACTATTTTAGATCCCCCAGAATCATTCATCATTGCTCAGTGCTGTTTCAGTCTGATTCCATTGAGCCATTATTTTTTAGCTCTACAGAAATAGTCTCCTCTGACATTTATGCTCTTTAGGATCACAAAGCCCATCTCCTCCTGTCATCTAAAAATTCCAACTAGTAGAGTTGATGCAACAGGAAACCATAAAATAACTTCAACCTGTTCATACCCTGTCCTCCCCCATCTATCCCCTTCAGTCTTTGGAGAGCCATCCCTCCTTCTTCCTGGCTGAATAATCCGATAACCATCAGTGGATACAGAGTCATGTATGAGAGAAAGGGTTGGTAGCAGCTTCATATTGCACAAATTCCTACTTCGTGCCAAATGCCATTCTATGCTTTATATAATAATGAGAACTAACATTAATTCACCATCTGCTATGTGTCAGCTGCATGTAGTTAACTCACATAATATTTGCCAAAGACCTAATAAAGTGGTATCATTGTCATCCTGCTTGTGCAGAAGAGGCATTCAAGACACAGAGAAGTTGAGTAACTTCTCAAAGACGCATTGCTAATGATCTGCAGAGGTGGAATCCAGGCCCAGGCCAGCTTCCTTCCTTTGTTACTGTCACCACACTCCAATAACATTTTTTTCTTGTTTGTGTTAATTATATGATATACTGGAAGTTAATATCATCTTATTTATGCATAAGGAAATGCATACTCAAAGCAGTAAATGACATGAACCACCTGGCACATTAATAGCAGTTTTGGGTCTAATTTCATCTGACTCTCAGGCCACAAGGCTCCTGAAAAACCTCAAGACCACTAAACTTTCACATGCGAACTCGCCTAAGCACAGTGAGCATCCCCAGGGCCACATTCCTGGGGGTGATATCAGGTGACACATGGACCAGAACTGAGTAGCGTTGACTCATGGAGTATTAAGTTACTCCCTTTCTATTTTATTTCAGTCCATCTGATCATGATGATGAGGCAAAAACCTCTCTTGTGTTCTAGGATTCTTTAATGCCTCGCTGACCCTTGCTAACCCCCTTATTTAGCAGATTCAGAAGCCCAAAGCCCACACTGCATCTGTACACTGTATCAGTACATACAGCGTGCAGAGAAAATTTAATAACGTGAGTTTGTTTCTTTGCTTTAGTTTTTATATTTAATTTATTAACAAATAAGAGCACTTGTCTATTTATGGTAGTGATGAAAAATTTTATTTAAATAAATTGATTAAAATTAGAAAGATGGGGCTGGGCATGGTGGCTCATGCCTGTAATCCCAGCACTTTGGGAGGCCGAGGAAGATGGATCACTTGAGGCCAGGAATTTGAGACCAGCCTGGCCAAAATTAGCTGGGCATGGTGGCACTCGCCTATAGTCCCAGCTACTTGGGAGGCTGAGACACGAGAATCCCTTGCATCCTGGAGATAGAGGTTGCAGTGAGCCGAGGTCGCGCCACTCCACTCCAGACTGGGCAACAGCGAGACTCTGTCTCAAAAAATTAAATAAAATATAAAATAAAATAAAGTAAGAAAAATAGAACATACTAAGTCTGTAACAACATAGATGATATCAGTAACAGTGATACCCTCCAAAAGTAAATTCATTGATATTTAGAAATGTGATATTAATTGGTTTAAGAAAGGAAGAATGTCTTACTCATTTTTGTGTTTTTGGAAACCGACAACTCCACCAGTGACAGAGAACTGCGTCCCTTTTATTCATGTCTGTAAATCCAGGAAAAACAGTGTCTGATATCTAATAGGTTCTCAAAAATAAATTTAATTTATAATTTAACTAACTCATTGCTGTGAACGTCTTTGCATGGCAGCACGCTGGAAAGAGAAACATTTCTAGTGTCCCCTTTAACTTTGAATTAGAATCTTCAGTGGACGTCTGGCTTCCCTCTTTCTGTTTCATTCGTGGACTCAGTGGCCACTCTCCCTGCTTAAAGATCTACCATGAGGCATTATCTATTATCATGTTCTAACACAGGACAGCCACTTTCTTTTGCAAGTACTGGGCATTAGCTGACCACGCAGAGTGACACAGATGTGCAAAAACAAAAACAAATCAGTTGTCCCTCACTGAACTGCCATGGACCAACCCAGAAAGAACATGCATGTGCCGTGCTTCCACTGGAAATCTGAGCTTCTTGGGAATGTTGTCAAGCCAAGGCCAGGGGCCAGGCTCTTCCCCCTCCTCATGCTGAGCCCAGCCATGTGGATTTTATTAATCCACTCAGACACCTATTGTGTATTAGGATTTGTCTTAAGTTTTGCATGGAGAGTTAGTGGGTGTGGGAGTAAATTTGACTCAGCCCCAGATCGTATTGGGTGACAGATTTGTATGGGGAGACAAGTATTTTCATAGGTATATACAATTTCAGATATATTTAACTAAAAGTTGAGCCATTTTGGCTTTCTTCCTTCTTCCAATCTCCCATTGCTTAGAGGGCTTGCAACTATTTTTCAAATTCACTATTATTAAGTTGATAATTCTTTTTAACAGCATGGCTTCATACTCACTCTGCAAACTCTAGTCTCAAAAGACCAAAATCAATTGCACGGAAGTTGGAGATCTCAAATCATATTTCACCAGTAGGGGTGAGGGAAGGACGTTGACCCCAGAGAGGAGTGCTAGCTGTAGGAAGCCCTCCCGCACTGACCCCAGGAGCGGAGGACACAGCGATGGCTCTGGGGGGAATAATGTGGTTGTGTTGGTGTCATTTGGTGAGTGTGTGGCCTCAGCTACAACTGTAAAAATAGGTATTAGCATTATCTTTACAAAGCTGTTGTAAGCGCCAAGTTAGAGGGACTTTGAAAACGGTGAATGATTGGACAAATATCAGGCCACATTCCACTTGGAGGAGTGAATACAGCAAATAGATTTTATTCAAACAAAGGTATTAAAAAAAACCTGAAAGCCAACTCTGATATACCCTACACTGAAGTACCACGAGCTTAGAGAAAGTGAGGTCACTATCCATGTAGCTATGGGAAGATCTCTAGGATACATTGTTAAGTGAAACAAGCAATGTATAGAGCAGTGTACAGGATGCTATATTTTGTATAAGAAATAGGGCCTAAGGATATAAGAATACATAGATTCCTATTTGCTTTTACTTGAACTGTAAAACAAAGGGGGTCTATATAAATTAATAGCAATGGCTTATTTTTCAGATTCGAGGGCATGGAGTGGGGATGGATAGGATAATTAGATTTCTCAATCTATGTTTTTATTTTGAGTCAAACGATTTAAATTCAGCCTTAAAAAATCAAGGACATATTTTCTTTTTCCATTCCTCCTTCAGGCCACAGATCACATTCTTAAACACTGCAGTGTCAGGGAGCAGAGATAATTTACTTTCCTGAACTTGCTAGAATCCAACCAAATTACGATGATGCTCTTGCGACTGCCGATGGATTGTGTTAACTTAATACCATCATTAAATGTTTCCCTTCAAGAAGAAAATATCTCTTCAGTTTAAGTAACATATTTTCTGAGATGTGTTATTAATGTACCTCTCCAGAGGCAAAGTTGCTGTATAATTCCAGTGCTAGGAAAACATATCAGCCTATAATCTATGTTTTACCTTGTCTTTTTGCTGGAAATGAAGGATTTTTTTATTCCCCCTGATTCTGAAACACCTTGTTACAAGGTAAATAGCTGCACTTTCTTTTGGCTGTGCAGATTGGCTCTGGGTTTGTCATATCTATGTGGGGGAAATAATTACTGCTTAAAGACACTGCACTGGTCTACACACAGATTAAAGGGTGAGGAAGCCAAGTACTTGAGGCTGTTTTGGGGAATATTGGGCGTCCTAACCAATAACCAGAAGGTTGGGTTACCATGTACTTTCCAGCAGCCGACAGAACATCAAAGAGGTCTTGGAGAACCGGTCAGATCCTAATGGCCCAACAGAAGGGGGCCCATTTTTCAAACATGGACCACCACATCTTAGAATGACAGGTGCTAACAAGGGAATGGGAGAGGAGGCAGCCAGCTTTCCACAGGAAGCCAGCCCTTCCCTCCTCCACAGTGCCGAGCAGTGGCTGGGAAGCTGCTGCCCAATGGGGCTTGTCTTACCCAGCCCTCTTCATTTAGGCTTGGGCATGAGAACAACTCTTGCAGTTACACCAGAGAGAAAATGGTACATGCTACTTTCAGGCCAAGGCTTTTAAAAAGTGCTTTGCCTCTCCCCTCCCTCCATGCTCTCCTCTCTTTTTCTTCAGCCAGTTGCAGGCAGTGCTGAGATTCCAGGGAGATGGCTCAGCTGGTTCTCAGAGTCATAGAAAAGACTTGCCCACCAGCCATGAGCTATTGTGTGAGAGAAAAAATTAATTTATATTGTGTTTGGGCTATTATGTGCCCTGGGTTCTATTTATTACAACATGATTTTAACCAGTACAATAAAGTACACTACTTCAACTCACGCAGTAAACCTAACGTCTATCACATGTCTACCATGTGCCAGGCGTTGTTCTGAGTGTGTTGTACACATTATAAAATTAAATCTTCAGAACAACACTATGGGAAATTATCATCCCCAATTTGGAGATCAGGAAAGTGAGGAACAGAGAGTTTAAGTTACTTGTCCAAGGTCACACATCTGTAAGTGGTGAATCCAGTCTGAATTCGAAGCCCACACTTTTAATCTTATACTATATAAATACTGGTTGATATTTACAGGTAGGGTATCTAAGAAAGAATATCATGGGTTATGAAAAATAGGAAAGTAGAGAGTGAATAATGACCGTTAAGCACCTCAATGATTTTCATGCGTCATTTCATTGAGCCTTGGTGGCAGTGGTCTCCAATATTGTTGGCACCAGGGACCAGTTTCTTGGAAGATAATTTTTCCATGGATGGGGTTAAGGGGTGGGGGGCAATAGTTTCAGGATGATGCAAGAGCATTACATTTATTGTGCACTTTATTTCTATGATTACTACATTGTAATA
This sequence comes from Homo sapiens, assembly GCF_000001405.40. Classification (NCBI taxonomy): domain Eukaryota; kingdom Metazoa; phylum Chordata; class Mammalia; order Primates; family Hominidae; genus Homo; species Homo sapiens. The sequence continues at coordinate 112,527 of NW_003315940.1, read as the reverse complement.
TATAATGAAATAATTATACAACTTACTATAATGAAGAATCAGGAAGAGCTCTGAGTTTGTTTTCCTACAACTAGATGGCCCATATGGGGGTGATGGGAGACAGTGAAATATCATCAGGCATTAGATTCTCATAAGGAGCATGCATCCTAGATCCCTCACATGCACAGTTCACTATAGGGTTCACACTTCTTTGAGAATCTAATGCCACAGCTGATCTGATGGGATGCAGAGCTCAGGTGGTAATGTGAGCAATGGGGAGCAGCTGTAACTACAGATGAAGCTTCACCCCCTCACTTGCTGTTCACCTCCTGCTGTGTGGCCTGGTTCCTAACAGGCCATGGACCTGTGGCAGGAGAGTTCAGGACCCCTGCTTTACAACAATCCTGTGAGGCAAGTACTATTATTATTCACATTTTGGGTGAAATAATTGAGACTCAAAGAACTTATGTAATTTTCTCTCATGAAACTTTTATTAATGACCAGCTTCTGGCTCTGAGTCTGTGATCTTCATAACCCTCTGAATTTCCCTTTCTATTAATAAGCAGCAGAGTCAGCCCCATCTGAACCCCAAGCCCAGCCCATTTCCACCCACTGTGGATGTTGCTTCCCCAGCGCCAGGGTCCCTAAGGGCCAGGTTTGCCTCCCACTAAGATCTGGGCCTCAAGAGCATCAGACTCACAACCTTCTCTCTGAAAGTCATTCCCACCTTTGGTTTCTCAACATCTGTTGGGGTACCTGAGACCATAAGTGCTATGGACTGAATTGTGTCTCCCAAAATTTATATGTTATAATCACAGCACTCATGTTCTCAGATTAAAGAACAGGTAGGCAAGTGCTCAGAGCTGCACTGAAACATGGGTATAATTATATTTATGCCCTTGGAACAAAACTTTGCAAAATAGCAATGAGAGTCTACCATGTTCATTATGATCTTTTGATTCAGCTCTTAGAAAATCTCTTCAAGATACAAAGGTTAGCAGTTTAAGGTTTACCCAGTGTAAGCCCTTCTTTTCAAAACCACATCATCTTCATGACCAAATAAAATATTTCGGCCAGGTACAGTGGCTCACGCCTGTAATCCCAGCACTTTGGGAAGCCGAGGCGGGTGGATCACTTGAGGTCAGGAGTTTGAAACCAGCCAGGCCAACATGGTGAAACCCCATCTCCACTAAAAATACAAAAACTAGCCGGATGTCCTGGTGGATGCCGTTCCAGCTACTTGGGAGGTTAAGGCCAGGAGAATTGCTTGAACCCAGGAGGCAGAGGTTGCAGTGAGCTATGATCATACCACTGCACTCCAGCCTAGGCAACAGGGTGAGATTCTGTCTAAAAAAAAAAATTTCAGGAAACTGTCATTTGTGTGTCTAGGTATGGAAGAGAAGGTGGGGCAACTATTTCTTCATGTGCAGAAGACATAAAATTAACAATCAATCCAACACAGAATCACAAAACTTCAAGGTACCTACAATTTTATTTTCTAGATGAAGCAACTAAGGCCATCAAGGTGACTGGTTCAGAGATACACACTACTTTTAGGGGTGCAAGATCAGGCTGGGGCTGCCTGAAGGACTCCCCACCTCAGTGAGTGGAGCCACCATACAGCTCATTTTGCAAGATATAAACCCCCAGACATTGCTCTTCTGTTTACCCCAATTTATACTTGCAGATTAAGTCTTCATGTCCATTGGGTTCTTTGACATCTTCACATGAGTAGATCAGAGGTATCTCAAACTCAGCATGTCCAACTTCAAGTTCATGACCCATCCATCATTTTCACATATAATAACCAGCAATTGTATAAGCCAGAAACCAGTCTTTCTTTCTCAATCTCTCCTTCTTCCTCATCTTCCATATCCAATCTATCACTAGTTCTCTTGATTTTACTCTTCAATCTCTCTTGAGTATGCCAGTTTTTCTCTCCACTGGTATCTTTCTTAATCCAAGCCTCCATCATCTCTCAGCTGGACAATTCCAATTACTTCTAACCACCTCCCCTCCCAATTCTACACTGTAGCCAGAGAGCACTTTTATAAATGAAAATATATTGTTTTGCCCTCGTTTAGATACATCAATGGTTTCCTATAGTTATTCATATCAAGAAAGAACTGTCCTTTTTCATTGTTTACACCATTTACCTCTGCAGGTTCATCTCACACCACTCTTTCTGTTGTTCAATGCTCCAACCTCATGGTGCTCCACTGACCACCAACAATGAATGTACTATGATTTCCCCACCTCAGAGCCTTTAGCTCTTATTTCCTTCTGCCTAGAACAATATCTTCTTTTCCTCTCATCCACAGTTTTCACACTGTTAAACTACTCATTCTTTTCATCTCAGTCCAAATGTTTTTTGCTCAGAGATTTCCACATGAGGCATGTCTGACCTCTGTTATTACACATCACTCTAGTTCTTTTTTAATGTTACTATCAACTCATTGCCTTTCTCCCTTGCCTGGCTGTAAGCTCCTTGAAGGCCTGGACCACCTATTCACAGAAATCAGTACAGAACCTGGCACATGTAGGTTTTCTTTGTTGGGAATTGCTTTTGAAGCTCAGACAGGAAGACAGACCTCCTAAATCCTGACCTCAAGTCCTTTCCATTGACACACGTTTCACACACAAAAGAGTGGCAGGCAGAGGTAGAGTTATTCAGAAGGGAGAAAAATGTATGAAACGTCTACATTTGAATCAGCAATGCATCACAGAACTTTCCCAAGGTAAAATGTTGGACAAGAGACTGTTGGATATTGTTGAATAGAAGGCAAAAGATTTCCCCTAAAAGGTCCCTAAGGCAACAAAAATTAAAGTTTTCTTACATTCAAATCCTCATGAAATCTCTCATATGACACAGCATCCTCTCATTTGTTTTAATCTGTACACAAAACAAGTAGTGCTTGGGGAGACAAATGTGTGAAACACTCTCACCCAACACTGCTTTGGATATTGATATGGTTTGGCTGTGTCTCCACCCAAATCTCACCTTGAATTCTAATCCCCATAATTCCCACATGTCAAGGGCAGGACCAGGTGGAGGTAATTGGGTCATGGGGGTGGTTTCCCTCATGCTGTTCTCTGATAGTGAGTGAGTCTCATGAGACTTCATGGTTTTATAAGCTTCTGGCATTTCCTCTGCTGGCACTTACTCCATCCTGCTACCCTGTGAAGGAGGCACCTGCTTCCCCTTTGCCTTCTGCCATGATTGTAAGTTTCCTGAGGCCTCCCCAGCAATGCGAAACTGTGAGTCAATTAAACCTCTTTTTTTTTAAAATAAATTACCCAGTCATGGATATTTCTTTATAGCAGTGTGAGAACAGACTAATACAGATATTTACAGAGGTCAACTGCCATAGACAGTTTGGGGAAAAAAGGCAAAAATAATTAACACAGCCTTCTTCATATTTCCCCGCTTGGGATGTAGCTTCATAATTATAAGTGTTGAATATTAATGCAAAAGTCATTTTTTAAAAGTAATTATTAAAAGTCAATTAAATATTGCTTTAAGAAGTAACATGGAAAGCAATTATGTTGTAGTGATAGTAAATATCCACCTAGAGGAAGACAAAACTTCAACAACCTATGTGTGGGAATTTCCAGTGGCCACACTGAAACCTTTAAAAACAATGCTATGTCCCCAATTACTTCAACTGAAGTGAAGTTGTTTTGCTCAGAAAAATTATAAGGGGATTGCGAATGTGCCTCTAGCGATGCAGACACTAATGTTAAAGGTGCCAGTGAGGAGGGCAATTAAAATGATTCAAGAAATGTGAAATGGTTAATAATAAATTGTATTTTAGAATTAATGTATTTTGTGGATATGATTTTTAAAACCACATATATGTTCAATTAAATTAATAATTTAAATAGCATAAGTAAACACCTGACTGCTTAATATATTTCTCTAGAAATTTGTATAGGCAAATTACGCTAAAGATGTTTTCATGGAATGTTCACATTATGAAAAATGAGTCACCTTTATAATGATCATCTATAAAATCCAGGCACATAATTCAGCAAAACATATTTACAAAAAAATATATATATCTCACCTGCTTATATTGATACTTAGGAGTTGGCCAAATTTATAATACTACAATGCATTTCCATGCCCAAATTAACAGAAAGTAACAGACAGCTATATGAGAAATTTCCTGTACTTAAAAAAAATGAGATCATGGCTCTATAGCTTGTAGAGTAAAATCTTCTAGTGATGTTCATCAGAGGAGGGTAGCACATAAGAAGTGCTATCTCTGATCAGTAAATTCAAGACTTGAGCTTGTTTACCTTTTCTTCCTATAAGAAGGTGCAGTGTTTACCTCCCTAAGTGCCCCCACATTCTCCATCAAGGATTCTAAACTCTGATATCTCCAGGGCCAGGCAAGTAGTGCTGATGCAGGAAGCAGGCTGAGTGGGGACTGGAGTGAGCTGGAGAAGTTTCCACAGGGGCTGGCAGCCCCGGTGCTTTCATTTACTCTTAGGTGCAATGTGGACACAGAAACCTCTCTGTGTCATGGAGGAAGCAAAAGATGAGCACGTGCGCTGCCCAGAAGTTCTGCCTTCACACCAGTAGCTCATCCGCAAGTGAAATAGAAGACCAAGGAAGTACAATTCGATAATAAAAAGTAACCCAATTTGTATATGGGGAAAGGATCTGAAAAGGCAGTTCTCTAAGGAAGATATACAACTGGCCAATAAGCACAGGAAGAGATGCCTGGAATTATTAGCCATGAAGGAAATGCAATACATGAAAATGAAATGCTACTTTACACCCATTAGGCTTGCTGTATAGAAAAAAAACATAAAATGACTAATACTGCCAAAGATGAGGAGAAATTGGAAACCTCATCTACTTACAGTAAGAAAGTAAAATGGTTTGGCCACTTTGGAAGACAGTCTGGCAGCTCCACAAAAGGTTAAATGTGGAGTAAACCTATCATGCAGCATTTCCACTCCTAGGTACATACTCGGGAAAATTAAAAACCTATGTCCATACAAAGACTTATGCAAGAATGTTTATAGCAACATTTTACTCCTAATAGCCCAAATTGGAAACAACTCAAATGTCCATCAACTAATGAATGGATAAACAAAATATGGTATATGCATATCATGGAGTATTATTAAGAGGAAAAAAACAGAAATGAAGCACTGTTACCTAATACAACATGAATAAACCTAAAAATTATGCTAAGTGAAAGAAGCTAGTCACAAAATACTACATATTATATCATTCTATTTTTATGAAATATCCAGAATAGACAAATTCATACACACAGAAAAAAAAATATTGGTTGCCAGGATCTCAAGGAAGGGGCATATTAGAGAGATGGGGAGGGAATGCTAATGGGAAGGAGTTGCTTTTGGGGCAATGGAAGCGTTCTAAAATTTACTGTGGAGGTGGTTGCATAACTCTGGGAATATACTAAAAACCATTGAATCATATACTTTAAACTGGGGAAGTATATATATGGCATGTGAATTATATCTCAATAAAGCTGTTATTTTAAAAAAAAGCAAGAGTAAAGAGGAGGTAATTTATAGGATGCTAAAAGCTGACCCAGTCTCCTCAGTCACAAAAATGAAATGCAGGAGGTTGAATATATTAAAACCCCTGTCATATTCAATTCAAAATATTACACATCTTCAGAAATCTTTAAGCACAATTAATCAAGGTCATCACTGGAAGACCAGATGAAGTTTTAAGTCAGAATGATATTAAATTTGGAACTCTGTTATGCAAAACCACAACCCAAGGCTTGTCTGAACAATAATTTCAGGCAGGCCTAGTTAATTTTTGGAGCTAAATTGTTTCCCCTGCTTCCTCTCCAAAGTCTAGGCTCTAGTCAGCTGATCAGAAAATTTATTGCAAGATGTTAATGGAAAGTGATAGCTAATGTCTAAGTCCTCATAAAAATTATATCCAGGTCATTAAAGATGTGGCCAAGAAGGCAAGCCCCAAGAAGGACCTAGAAGGAAAAAACACACACACGCACACATACATAGTCCCACACACAGACACACACATACAAGCATACACAGACACACAAATATAGAGACACACACAGACACACACACACACACATACACAGACACGCACATACAGGCATACACAGACACACACAGATACAGAGACACAGACAGACACACACACACATACACAGACACACACATACAGGCATACACAGACACACAAATACACACAGAGACACATACAGACACACACATACAGACATACACAGACACACACAGATACACACAGAGACACATTACAGACACACACACACTTACAGACACACACACAGAGACAGACACAAAGACATACACATACAGATATACACACACATACACATATACAGATACAGACACACATACATAGACACACACACGGACATACACAGAGAGAAATATACACATTGCAAACATACACAGACACACACACACATACACAGACACACATACACACACAGAGGTACATACAGATACACACATACATAGACAAACATAGACACACACATACAGACAAACACACAGAGACAAACACAGACACACACACATATACAGATATAGACATACATAGACACACACACGGACATACACAGAGAGAAATATAAACATACAAACATACAGATATACACAGAGACACATACAGACACACATGCAGGCACATACACAGACACACACATAGACACACACATACAGACATACACAGAGACATACAGAGACATACACAGACACATATGGCCACACAGGCACACATACAGACATACAAAGACACACACACAGATATGCATAGAGATAGAAACACACACAGGCACACACAAAGACACACAAATGATAGGCCATTTGACATTCACAAACAGGTAATGTAAAGCACTTTAAATCATATGGAAAACCGGAGTCCGTTCCAAGATGGCCGAATAGGAACAGCTCTGGTCTGCAGCTCCCAGCGTGATTGACGCAGAAGACCGGTGATTTCTGCATTTCCAACTGAGGTACCTGGTTCATCTCACTGGGACTGGTCAGAAAGTGGCTGCAGCCCATGAAGGGTGAGCTGAAGCAGGGTGGGGCATTGTCTCACCTGGGAAGTGGAAGGGGTCAGGGGATTTCCCTTCCCAAGCCAAGGGAAGCTGTGATAGACTGTACCACAAAAATTGGGACACTGCCACCTAAATACTGGCTTTTCCAAAGGTCTTAGTAAACGGCACAACAGGAGATTATATCCCACACCTGGCTCAGCGGGTCCCACTCCCATGGAGCCTTGCTCACTGCTAGTCTGAGATCGAACTGTGAGGCAGCAAGCCTGGCTGGGGAGGGGCGTCTGCCATTGCTGAGGCTTGAGTAGATAAACAAAGCTACCGGGAAGCTTGAACTGGGTGGAGCCCACCACAGCTCAAAAAGGTCAACCTGCCTCTGTAGACTCCACCTCTGGGGGCAGGGCATAGCTGAACAAAATGCAGCAGAAACTTCTGCAGACTTAAACGTCCCTGTCTGACAGCTCTGAAGAGAGCAGTGGTTCTCCCAGCACAGTGTTTGAGCTCTGAGAACAGACAGACTGCCTCCTCAAGAGGGTCCCTGACCCCCGTGTAGCCTAACTTGGAGACACCTCCCATTTGGGGCAGACTGACACCTCATACAGCCGGGTGCCCCTCTGAGACAAACTTCCAGGGAAAGGATCAGGCAGCAATATTTGCTGTTCTACAGCCTTTGCTGGTGATACCCAGGCAAACAGGGTCTGGAGTGGACGTCCAGCAAACTCCAACAGACCTGTAGCTGAGGGACTGACTGTTAGAAGGAAACTAACAAACAGAAAGGAATAGCATCAACATCAACAAAAGGGACATCCACACCAAAACCCTATTTGTAGGTCACCATCATCAAAGACCAAAGGTAGATAAAACCACAAAGATGGGGAGAAACCAGAGCAGAAAAGCTGAAAATTCTAAAAACCAGAGCGCCCCTTCTCCTCCAAAGACTGCAGCTCCTCACCAGCAACAGAATAAAGCAGGACGGAGAAGGACTTTGATGAGTTGACAGAAGTAGGCTTCAGAAAGTCGGTAATAACAAACTTCTCTGAGCTAAAGCAGGATGTTTGAACCCATTGCAAGGAAGCTAAAAACCTTGAAAAAAGATTAGATGAATGGCTAATTAGAATAAACAGTGTAGAGAAGACCTTAAATGACCTGATGGAGCTGAAAACCATGGCATGAGAACTACGTGATGCACGCACAAGCTTCAGTAGCCGATTCGATCAAGTGGAAGAAAGGGCATCAGTGATTGAAGGTCAAATTAATGAAATGAAGCAAGAAGAGAAGTTTAGAGAAAAAAGAGTAAAAATAAACAAACAAAGCCTCCAAGAAATATGGGACTATGAAAAAAGACCAAATCTACATTTGATTGGTGTACCTGAAAGTGACTGGGAGAATGGAACCAAGCTGGAAAACACTCTTCAGGAATTATCCAGGAGAACTTCCCCAACCTAGCAAGGCAGGCCAACATTCAAATTCAGGAAATACAGAGAACACCACAAAGATACTCCTTGAGAAGAGAACCCCAAGACACGTAATTGTCAGATTCACCATGACTGAAATGAAGGAAAAAACGCTAAGGGCAGCCAAAGAGAAAGGTCGGGTTACCCACAAAGGGAAGCCCATCAGACTGACAGTGGATCTCTCGGCAGAAACCCTACAAGCCAGAAGAGAGTGGGGGCCAATATTCAACATTCTTAAAGAAAAGAATTTTCAACCCAGAATTTCATATGCAGCCAAGCTATGCTTCACAAGTGAAGGAGAAATAAAATCCTTTACAGACAAGCAGATGCTGAGAGATTTTGTCACCACCAGGCCTGCCTTACAAGAGCTCCTGAAGGAAGCACTAAACATGGAAAGGAACAACCAGTACCAGCCACTGCAAAAACATGCCAAATTGTAAAGACTATTGATGCTAGGAAGAAACTGCATCAACTAACGGACAAAATAACCAGCTAACATCATAATGACAGGATCAAATTCACACATAACAATATTAACCTTAATGTAAATGGGCTAAATGCCCCAATTAAAAGACACAGACTGGCAAATTGGATAAAGAGTCAAGACCCATCAGTGTACTGTATTCAGGAGACCCATCCCACGTGCAGAGACACACATAGGCTCAAAATAAAGGGATGGAGGAAGATCTACTAAGCAAATGGAAAGCAAAAAAAAAAAAGAGCAGGTGTTGCAATCCTAGTCTCTGATAAAACAGACTTTAAACTAACAAAGATCAAAAGAGACAAAGAAGGCCACTATATAATGGTAAAGGGATCAATTCAACAAGAAGAGCTAACTATCCTAAATATATATGCACCCAATACAGGATCACCCAGATTCATAAAGCAAGTCCTGAGAGACCTATAAAGAGACTTAGACTTCCGCACAATAATAATGGGAGACTTTAACACCCCACTGTCAATATTAGACAGATCAACGAGACAGAAGGTTAACAAGGATATCCGGGACTTGAACTCAGCTCTGCACCAAGCAGACCTAATAGACATCTACAGAATTCTCCACCCCAAATCAACAGAATATACATTCTTCTCAGCACCACATTGCACTTATTCCAAAATTGACCACGTAGTTGGAAGTAAAACACTCCTCAGCAAATGTAAAAGAACAGAAATCACAACAAACTGTCTCTCAGACCACAGTGCAGTCAAATTAGAACTCGGGATTAAGAAACTCACTCAAAACCGCACAACTACATGGAAACTGAACAACCTGCTCCTGAATGACTACTGGGTAAATAACGAAATGAAGGCAGAAATAAAGATGTTCTTTGAAACCAATGAGAACAAAGATACAACATACCAGAATCTCTGGGACACATCCAAAGTAGTGTGTAGAAGGAAATTTACAGCACTAAATACCCACAAGAGAAAGAAGGAAAGATCTAAAATCGACACCCTAACATCACAATTAAAAGAACTAGAGAAGCAAGAGCAAACACATTCAAAAGCTAGCAGAAGGCAAGAAATAACTAAGATCAGAGCAGAACTGAAGGAGATAGAGACACAAAAAAACCCTTCAAAAAATCAATGAATCCAGGAGCTGGTTTTTTGGAAAGATCAACAAAATTGATAGACTGCTAGCAAGACTAATAAAGAAGAAGAAGAGAGAAGAATCAAATAGACGCAATAAAAAATGATAAAGGGAATATCACCACCGATCCCACGGAAATACAAACTACCATCACAGAATACTATAAAAAGCTCTAGGCAAATAAACTAGACCCTCCCAAGACTACACCCTCCCAAGACTAAACCAGGAAGAAGTTGAATTGCTGAAGAGACCAATAACAGGCTCTGCAATTGAGGCAATATTTAATAGCCTACCAACCAAAAAAAGTCCAGGACCAGATGGATTCACAGCCAAATTCTACCAGAGGTACAAAGAGGAGATGGTACCATTCCTTCTGAAACTATTCCAATCAATAGAAAAAGAGGGAATCCTCCCTAACTCATTTTATGAGGCCAGCGTCATCCTGATACCAAAGCCTAGCAGAGACACAACAAAAATAGAGAATTTTAGACCAATATCCCTGATGAACATTGATGCGAAAATCCTCAATAAAATACTGGCAAACCGAATCCAGCAGCACATCAAAAAGCTTATCCACCAAGATCAAGTTGGCTTCATCCCTGGGATGCAAGGCTTGTTCAACATATGCAAATCAATAAACGTAATCCCTCACATAAATGGAACCAAAGACAAAAACCACATGATTATCTCAATAGATGCAGAAAAGGCCTTTGACAAAATTCAACAGCTCTTCATGCTAAAAAAATCTCAATAAACTAGGTATTGATGGAACGTATCTCAAAATAATAAGAGCTATCTATGACAAACCCACAACCAGTATTATACTGAATGGGCAAAAACTGGAAGCATTCCCTTCGAAAACTGGCACAAAACAGGGATGCCCTCTCTCACCACTCCTATTCAACATACTGTTGGAAGTTCTGGCCAGGGCAATCAGGCAACAGAAAGAAATAAAGGGTATACAATTAGGAAAAGAGGAAGTCAAATTTTCCCTGTTTGCAAACGACATGATTGTATATTTAGAAAACCCCATCGTCTCAGCCAAAAATCTCCTTAAGGTGATAAGCAACTTCAGCAAAGCCTCAGGATATAAAATCAATGTGCAAAAATCACAAGCATTCTTTTACACCAATAACAGACAAACAGAGTTTCAAATCATGAGTGAACTCCCATTCACAATTGCTACAAAGAGAGTAAAATACCTAATACCTAGGAATCCAACTTACAAGGGATGTGAAGGAACTCTTTAAGGAGAACTACAAACCACTGCTCAATGAAATAAAAGAGGACACAAACAAATAGAAGAACATTCCAAGCTCATGGATAGGAAGAATCAATATTGTGAAAATGGCCACACTGCCCAAGGTAACTTATAGATTCAATGCCATCCCCATCAAGCTACCAATGACTTTCTTCACAGAATTGGAAAACACTACTTTAAAGTTCATATGGAACCATAAAAGAGTCTGCATTGCCAAGACAATGCTAAGCAAAAAGAACAAAGCTGGAGGCATCACGCTACCTGACTTCAAACTATACTACAAGGCTACAGTAACCAAAACAGCATGTACTGGTACTGCTACCAAAACAGAGATACAGACCAGTGGAACAGAACAGAGGCCTCAGAAATAACACCACACATCTACAACCATCTGATCTTTGACAAACCTGACAAAAACAAGAAATGGGGAAAGGATTCCCTATTTAATAAATGGTGCTGGGAAAACTGGCTAGCCATATGTAGAAAGCTGAAACTGGATCCCTTCCTTACACCTTATACAAAAATTAATTCAAGAGGGATTAAAGACTTAAATGTTAGACCTAAAACCATAAAAACCCTAGAAGAAAACCTAGGCAATACCATTCAGGACATAGGCATGGGCAAGGACTTCATGACTAAAACACCAAAAGCAATGACAACAGAAGCCAAAATAGACAAATGGGATCTAATTAAACTAAAGAGCTTCTGCACAGCAAAGAAACTATCATTAGAGTGAACAGAGAACCTACAGAATGGGAGAAAATTTTTGCAATCTACTCATCTGACAAAGGGCTAATATCCAGAATCTACAAAGAACTTAAACAAATTTACAAGAAAAAAACAAGCAATCCCATCAACAAGTGGGCAAAGGATATGAACAGACACTTCTCAAAAGAAGACATTTATGCAGCCAACAGACAAAAGAAAAAATGCTAATCGTCACTGGTCATCAGAGAAATGCAAATCAAAACCACAACGAGATACCATCTCACACCAGTTAGAATGGTGATCATTAAAAAGTCAGGAAACAACAGGTGCTGGAGAGGATGTGGAGAAATAGGAATGCTTTTACACTGTTGGTGGGAGTGTAAATTAGTTCAACCACTGAGGAAGACAGTGTGGTGATTACTCAAGGATCTAGAACTAGAAATACCATTTGACCCAGCGATCCCTTTACTGGGTAGATAGCCAAAGGATTATAAATCATGCTACTATAAAGACATATGCACACGTATGTTTAATGTGGCACTATTCACAATAGCAAAGACTTGGAACCAACCCAAATGTCCATCTATGATAGACTGGATTAAGAAAATGTGGCACATATACACCATGGAATACTATGCAGCCATAAAAAAGGATGAGTTCATGTCCTTTGTAGCAACATGGATGAAGCTGGAAACCATCATTCTGAGCAAACTATCACAAGGACAGAGAAACAAACACTGCATGTTCTCACTCATAGGTGGGAATTGAAAATGAGAACCTTGGACATAGGGTAGGGAACATCACACACTGGGGCCTATCGTGGGGTGGGGGGATGGGAGAGGAATAGCATTAGGAGAAATACCTAATGTAAATGACGAGTTAATGGGTGCAGCAAACCAACACGGCACATGTATATGTATGTAACAAACCTGCATGTTGTGCACATGTACCCTAGAACTTAAAGTATAATAATAAAAAAAATCATATGGAAAACCATTTAATCTCATTAGTAGTCAAAGGAGTACACAGTAGACATCATTGAGATGCAATTTATCAAAATGACAATGCTGTATATACATATTTATAATAGATAAATATTTACAAAAGGTATACATATATTTACTATCTATTCACAATACAGTTATATTTACAATATATATTCACAATACATATATGTATTTACTATAACAATAGAGGTTTAAGAAAGTGAACAGAAATAGGATAGACAGGTAAAGCTTTTTTGGAGGAAAATTTGGCAGTATGTTTCAAAAGCCTAATAAATGAACTTCCTTTTAAACATAACTTCACATCCAAAAATTAAGCTTAAGAGTTCCTTCAGAAAAGAAGAAAGTCAGTACAATTGAGAGGGGCACAGGGTAACCTCTGACATGCTGGTAATGTTCTAAGTCTTGATTTCAGAGGTGTGTGTGTAAGCCTGTTAATATTGAGATAATTTATCAAGTTTTATCCTTAAAATTTCTGCACTTTCAAAAAGAGTGTAACAAAAACATCTCGAGAAACAAAGAATGTAGCCTAGCAAAACAAATGGATTTATACAACATTTAGCAAGAGGGATACTTATGATAGCATTGTTTTCAGTGGGGAAAAAATAAAACTAAAATTAATCTAAATATGTAGCTCACTGGGAAATGATGACAGCAATTGCTTAAATTACAAATAATGGGATATCATAAAAAATTAAGCCACAGAAATATGTTTGTGCATACCATTAAGTAAAAAGAGAAGCAAGTAATATGTTCTACACACTATATATGCAAAGGAAGTGTAAAAATATTGCTTCCTGATGTTAAAAGTGGTTATTTCTGCATGGTGGGATTCTAGGTCATGTTATTATAAATATGGACCATTTTAAAAAAAGAAGCAATTCAATGTTTTCTCCTGTGAAGTTTTGTCCAACTTTCAAATAGCAGGATCACTTCCTCATTTGTGTGCCTGTGATACTCTCTATTATAGCTTTTTTCCCACTATGTTACCTTTATTTGTTTAACTATCTACTTACTCCCCTAACATATTTTTGAGAGTAGTTATTGCCCCTGCTTCCTCCCCAAAGACTAGACTCTAGGTAACTGATCAGAAAATTTATCACAAGATGTGAATGGAAATGTTTTATTTCTATTACACACTTTCACAGATCCTGGAATAACGTAGATGCTCAGTAATGTCTGTCAAATATAAAGTGAAATGAACTGGCATCAATGAGTCCACCTGTGGTGATAACATATCCTGACCTGGAAGACCTCATTCTCCTTGTCACCAGGAAACTTCGTCTTGACCCTCTTGAGGCTGGGGGCATCCCAAAAGTGAGTGCTTTGTATCCTAAGCACGGTGCAGACGCCTGAGTCCAGCCCACCTCAACACAGGGGATTGGGCTGTGTGGCCCTTGGCATTCAGCCCTGCCTGCCTTATCCCCAAGCTGGGATAAGTACACCAAGAATTGTCTTTGTTACTACAGACATATGAATTAAACGGACCAAGGTGATATGTGATCAGTGCAAGACAGCAGTAATTATCCTTCCTTGGCTTTCTAAAAAATGGTCTCCAAAAACAAAATCTTTCATTCGATTATTCAACCATCATTTAATGAGTTCCTAGATTGTGACAGATTCTGTTCTGAGCACTGGAGACATGAGTGAATGATGCCGAGAGAACCTGCCTCGTGGTGCCTATGTTCCAGTGGGGAAGACAGATAACAAATCAGCTAAATAAATGTGGCGATGACAACTGTTAATGAGAAAAAGTAAATCAGCAAGGAGTATAGAATCTATCTTGAATAATAGATCATACACCTTCCATTTTAGATCCTCACCAAACCTAATTAAACTATCTAATTAATATATATTCCTCAGAACCAAATATAACTCCAATTCTACATTAAAATGGAATATATAATAAAATATAGGTATATATACACATATATAAGCAAATGTACATATATATGTCTTAAAACACATACTTGAATATAGTCGTCAATATGCCTTCTATACATTAGACAAATATATGAAATACATGCTTAATGAATTAACTCTTGATACATTTTAAGCTAAAAAATAAAGTAACTGTGAAATCTGTTCAAAATGCAAATCTATCCTTCCATAATCACAGAAGTGTAGAGATATTTAATATTAAGTTGAGTCATTTATTTCACCGGAAGTTGCTAATAGGTGAGTCCATGGATTTTTCTTGCCTGGAATTTTATTTTGTTTACTCTGGGAAATTCAAAAGAGTACAAGTCGGGGGGAGGAGCCAAGATGGCCGAATAGGAACAGCTCCGGTCTACAGCTCCCAGCGTGAGCGACGCAGAAGACGGGTGATTTCTGCATTTCCATCTGAGGTACCGGGTTCATCTCACTAGGGAGTGCCAGACAGTGGGCGCAGGCCAGTGTGTGTGCGCACCGTGCGCGAGCCGAAGCAGGGCGAGGCATTGCCTCACCTGGGAAGCGCAAGGGGTCAGGGAGTTCCCTTTCCGAGTCAAAGAAAGGGGTGACGGACGCACCTGGAAAATCGGGTCACTCCCACCCGAATATTGCGCTTTTCAGACCGGCTTAAGAAACGGCGCACCACGAGACTATATCCCACACCTGGCTCAGAGGGTCCTACGCCCACAGAATCTCGCTGATTGCTAGCACAGCAGTCTGAGATCAAACTGCAAGGTGGCAACGAGGCTGGGGGAGGGGCGCCCGCCATTGCCCAGGCTTGCTTAGGTAAACAAAGCAGCCGGGAAGCTCGAACTGGGTGGAGCCCACCACAGCTCAAGGAGGCCTGCCTGCCTCTGTAGGCTCCACCTCTGGGGGCAGGGCACAGACAAACAAAAAGACAGCAGTAACCTCTGCAGACTTAAGTGTCCCTGTCTGACAGCTTTGAAGAGAGCAGTGGTTCTCCCAGCACGCAGCTGGAGATCTGAGAACGGGCAGACTGCCTCCTCAAGTGGGTCCCTGACCCCTGACCCCCGAGCAGCCTAACTGGGAGGCACCCCCCAGCAGGGGCACACTGACACCTCACACGGCAGGGTATTCCAACAGACCTGCAGCTGAGGGTCCTGTCTGTTAGAAGGAAAACTAACAACCAGAAAGGACATCTACACTGAAAACCCATCTGTACATCACCATCATCAAAGACCAAAAGTAGATAAAACCACAACGATGGGGATAAAACAGAACAGAAAAACTGGAAACTCTAAAACGCAGAGCGCCTCTCCTCCTCCAAAGGAACGCAGTTCCTCACCAGCAACAGAACAAAGCTGGATGGAGAATGATTTTGACGAGCTGAGAGAAGAAGGCTTCAGACGATCAAATTACTCTGAGCTACGGGAGGACATTCAAACCAAAGGCAAAGAAGTTGAAAACTTTGAAAAAAATTTAGAAGAATGTATAACTAGAATAACCAATACAGAGAAGTGCTTAAAGGAGCTGATAGAGCTGAAAACCAAGGCTCGAGAACTACGTGAAGAATGCAGAAGCCTCAGGAGCCGATGCGATCAACTGGAAGAAAGGGTATCAGCAATGGAAGATGAAATGAATGAAATGAAGCGAGAAGGGAAGTTTAGAGAAAAAAGAATAAAAAGAAATGAGCAAAGCCTCCAAGAAATATGGGACTATGTGAAAAGACCAAATCTACGTCTGATTGGTGTACCTGAAAGTGATGTGGAGAATGGAACCAAGTTGGAAAACACTCTGCAGGATAATATCCAGGAGAACTTCCCCAATCTAGCAAGGCAGGCCAACGTTCAGATTCAGGAAATACAGAGAACGCCACAAAGATACTCCTCGAGAAGAGCAACTCCAAGACACATAATTGTCAGATTCACCAAAGTGGAAATGAAGGAAAAAATGTTAAGGGCAGCCAGAGAGAAAGGTCGGGTTACCCTCAAAGGAAAGCCCATCAGACTAACAGCGGATCTCTCGGCAGAAACCCTACAAGCCAGAAGAGAGTGGGG
Source organism: Homo sapiens (assembly GCF_000001405.40). NCBI lineage: Eukaryota > Metazoa > Chordata > Mammalia > Primates > Hominidae > Homo > Homo sapiens. Next base: position 95,528 of record NW_003315940.1, on the reverse strand, counting down.
GCCAATATTCAACATTCTTAAAGAAAAGAATTTTCAAACCAGAATTTCATATCCAGCCAAACTAAGCTTCATAAATGAAGGAGAAATAAAATACTTTATAGACAAGCAAATGCTGAGAGATTTTGTCACCACCAGGCCTGCCCTAAAAGAGCTCCTGAAGGAAGCGCTAAACATGGAAAGGAACAACCGGTACCAGCCGCTGCAAAATCATGCCAAAATGTAAAGACCATAGAGACTAGGAAGAAACTGCATCAACTAATGAGCAAAATCACCAGCTAACATCATAATGACAGGATCAAATTCACACATAACAATATTAACTTTAAATATAAATGGACTAAATTCTGCAATTAAAAGACACAGACTGGCAAGTTGGATAAAGAGTCAAGACCCATCAGTGTGCTGTATTCAGGAAACCCATCTCACGTGCAGAGACACACATAGGCTCAAAATAAAAGGATGGAGGAAGATCTACCAAGCCAATGGAAAACAAAAAAAGGCAGGGGTTGCAATCCTAGTCTCTGATAAAACAGACTTTAAACCAACAAAGATCAAAAGAGACAAAGAAGGCCATTACATAATGGTAAAGGGATCAATTCAACAAGAGGAGCTAACTATCCTAAATATTTATGCACCCAATACAGGAGCACCCAGATTCATAAAGCAAGTCCTCAGTGACCTACAAAGAGACTTAGACTCCCACACATTAATAATGGGAGACTTTAACACCCCACTGTCAACATTAGACAGATCAACGAGACAGAAAGTCAACAAGGATACCCAGGAATTGAACTCAGCTCTGCACCAAGCAGACCTAATAGACATCTACAGAACTCTCCACCCCAAATCAACAGAATATACATTTTTTTCAGCACCACACCACACCTATTCCAAAATTGACCACATACTGGGAAGTAAAGCTCTCCTCAGCAAATGTAAAAGAACAGAAATTATAACAAACTATCTCTCAGACCACAGTGCAATCAAACTAGAACTCAGGATTAAAAATCTCACTCAAAGCCGCTCAACTACATGGAAACTGAACAACCTGCTCCTGAATGACTACTGGGTACATAACGAAATGAAGGCAGAAATAAAGATGTTCTTTGAAACCAACGAGAACAAAGACACCACATACCAGAATCTCTGGGACGCATTCAAAGCAGTGTGTAGAGGGAAATTTATAGCACTAAATGCCTACAAGAGAAAGCAGAAAAGATCCAAAATTGACACCCTAACATCACAATTAAAAGAACTAGAAAAGCAAGAGCAAACACATTCAAAAGCTAGCAGAAGGCAAGAAATAACTAAAATCAGAGCAGAACTGAAGGAAATAGAGACACAAAAAACCCTTCAAAAAATCAATGAATCCAGGAGCTGGTTTTTTGAAAGGATCAACAAAATTGATAGACCGCTAGCAAGACTAATAAAGAAAAAAAGAGAGAAGAATCAAATAGACACAATAAAAAATGATAAAGGGGATATCACCACCGATCCCACAGAAATACAAACTACCATCAGAGAATACTACAAACACCTCTATGCAAATAAACTAGAAAATCTAGAAGAAATGGATACATTCCTCGACACATACACTCTCCCAAGACTAAACCAGGAAGAAGTTGAATCTCTGAATCGACCAATAACAGGCTCTGAAATTGTGGCAATAATCAATAGTTTACCAACCAAAAAGAGTCCAGGACCAGATGGATTCACAGCCGAATTCTACCAGAGGTACAAGGAGGAACTGGTACCATTCCTTTTGAAACTATTCCAATCAATAGAAAAAGAGGGAATCCTCCCTAACTCATTTTATGAGGCCAGCATCATTCTGATACCAAAGCTGGGCAGAGACACAACCAAAAAGGAGAATTTTAGACCAATATCCTTGATGAACATTGATGCAAAAATCCTCAATAAAATACTGGCAAACCGAATCCAGCAGCACATCAAAAAGCTTATCCACCATGATCAAGTGGGCTTCATCCCTGGGATGCAAGGCTGGTTCAATATACGCAAATCAATAAATGTAATCCAGCATATAAACAGAGCCAAAGACAAAAACCACATGATTATCTCAATAGATGCAGAAAAAGCCTTTGACAAAATTCAACAACGCTTCATGCTAAAAACTCTCAATAAATTAGGTATTGATGGGACGTATTTCAAAATAATAAGAGCTATCTATGACAAACCCACAGCCAATATCATACTGAATGGGCAAAAACTGGAAGTATTCCCTTTGAAAACTGGCACAAGACAGGGATGCCCTCTCTCACCGCTCCTATTCAACATAGTGTTGGAAGTTCTGGCCAGGGCAATCAGGCAGGAGAAGGAAATAAAGGGTATTCAATTAGGAAAAGAGGAAGTCAAATTGACCCTGTTTGCAGACGACATGATTGTTTATCTAGAAAACCCCATCGTCTCAGCCCAAAATCTCCTTAAGCTGATAAGCAACTTCAGCAAAGTCTCAGGATACAAAATCAATGTACAAAAATCACAAGCATTCTTATACACCAACAACAGACAAACAGAGAGCCAAATCATGGGTGAACTCCCATTCACAATTGCTTCAAAGAGAATAAAATACCTAGGAATCCAACTTACAAGGGATGTGAAGGACCTCTTCAAGGACAACTACAAACCACTGCTCAAGGAAATAAAAGAGGACACAAACAAATGGAAGAACATTCCATGCTCATGGGTAGGAAGAATCAATATCGTGAAAATGGCCATACTGCCCAAGGTAATTTACAGATTCAATGCCATCCCCATCAAGCTACCAATGACTTTCTTCACAGAATTGGAAAAAACTACTTTAAAGTTCATATGGAACCAAAAAAGAGCCCGCATTGCCAAGTCAATCCTAAGCCAAAAGAACAAAGCTGGAGGCATCACACTACCTGACTTCAAACTATACTACAAGGCTACAGTAACCAAAACAGCATGGTACTGGTACCAAAACAGAGATATAGATCAATGGAACAGAACAGAGCCCTCAGAAATAATGCCGCATATCTACAACTATCTGATCTTTGACAAACCTGAGAAAAACAAGCAATGGGGAAAGGATTCCCTATTTAATAAATGGTGCTGGGAAAACTGGCTAGCCATATGTAGAAAGCTGAAACTGGATCCCTTCCTTACACCTTATACAAAAATCAATTCAAGATGGATTAAAGATTTAAACGTTAGACCTAAAACCATAAAAACCCTAGAAGAAAACCTAGGCATTACCATTCAGGACATAGGCGTGGGCAAGGACTTCATGTCCAAAACACCAAAAGCAATGGCAACAAAAGCCAAAATTGACAAATGGGATCTAATTAAACTAAAGAGCTTCTGCACAGCAAAAGAAACTACCATCAGAGTGAACAGGCAACCTACAACATGGGAGAAAATTTTCGCAACCTACTCATCTGACAAAGGGCTAATATCCAGAATCTACAATGAACTCAAACAAATTTACAAGAAAAAAACAAACAACCCCATCAAAAAGTGGGCAAAGGACATGAACAGACACTTCTCAAAAGAAGACATTTATGCAGCCAAAAAACACATGAAGAAATGCTCATCATCACTGGCCATCAGAGAAATGCAAATCAAAACCACCATGAGATATCATCTCACACCAGTTAGAATGGCAATCATTAAAAAGTCAGGAAACAACAGGTGCTGGAGAGGATGTGGAGAAATAGGAACACTTTCACACTGTTGGTGGGACTGTAAACTAGTTCAACCATTGTGGAAGTCAGTGTGGCGATTCCTCAGGGATCTAGAACTAGAAATACCATTTGACCCAGCCATCCCATTACTGGGTATATACCCAAAGGACTATAAATCATGCTGCTATAAAGACACATGCACACGTATGTTTATTGCGGCACTATTCACAATAGCAAAGACTTGGAACCAACCCAAATGTCCAACAATGATAGACTGGATTAAGAAAATGTGGCACATATACACCATGGAATACTATGCAGCCATAAAAAATGATGAGTTCATATCCTTTGTAGGGACATGGATGAAATTGGAAACCATCATTCTCAGTAAACTATCGCAAGAACAAAAAACCAAACACCGCATATTCTCACTCATAGGTGGGAATTGAACAATGAGATCACATGGACACAGGAAGGGGAATATCACACTCTGGGGACTGTGGTGGGGTCGGGGGAGGGGGGAGGGATAGCATTGGGAGATATACCTAATGCTAGATGACACATTAGTGGGTGCAGCGCACCAGCATGGCACATGTATACATATGTAACTAACCTGCACAATGTGCACATGTACCCTAAAACTTAGAGTATAATAAAAAAAAAAAAAAAAAAAGAGTACAAGTCAATAATTTTGTTAATTGGCAGCTTTCACTTAAAAATTGAGAATGTTAGTCTCTTTTTAAAAAAATAGAGTAAGTGGAAACAGTAAATCAGCAACCCCGCATGGCAGCAGCTGGCTGGAACTGAGTAACGATGTCTTACACATCAGGGCCACTGGCCCAAGTGTGGCTCCACCACTGAGCTGACTGACTGTCAGCTGTGGTTTATCTTCATACTTGCTTCCTGTCCGCACCTCCCTCAAGGGGGGACATGAAAGGGAACATACGGGAATACGTTTAGAAGAAAAACATAGGGTCAACATAGCACTTTATAAAAGTAAACAATATGTCTATAACTTTACCATACAAAAACAAAACAAAACAATCCTTCCCACCCACACATGCTACCTGCCTAGGTCCTGCAGGCATACAGTTTTGTGATCTCTATGCAAAGCTGTCTCACCTGGACCAGGACAGTTGCCCAGGCACTGAAGAACCGCAAACATCAGGCTCTTCTCCTTCAAGTGTTTACGATAGAGATATGTGGAAGAATTGGAGAGTACGATAAGACAGTAAATTAATATAATTACAGGAGTGGTGCAGGTACTAAAATCTATGGGTCATCTAAATTGGCTGAAGCTTCCTGAGATTTAAAAGGATCCCATTTTTATTAAAGAAAGATAAACATCAGAAGGCCGAGGCAGGAGGATTGATTGAGTTTGAGGAGGTGGAGGCGGTAGTGAGCTGTGATCACACCACTGAACACCAGCCTGGGTGTCAGAGCAAGACCTTGTTAAAAAAAAAAAAAAAAAAAAAGATTAAAATAATTAAAATTAAAGAATTCCTTCAATACCAAAATAGTTCTATCAGAAGCAAGTTGTTAATTCATTGTGTTGAGTATTGCAGAGCCCCTGAGAATATTAATCATTGAATCAATAGGCTCTAGAATTTTTAAGTGTGTTATAACAAAAATAAATGCAATAAAGAGAGCAGGATGACACCTTTGGAGGAAATGGGTAGATTTATGGTCTTGACTGTGGTGGTGCTTTCATCAATGGTGATCAGTTTATCTCCAAACTCATCCTGTTGTATACACTAAATATGTACAGCTTTTTATAGGTCCAATCATATATTAATAAAGTGGTTTAAAAACTGCTTGGTAGGCTAGGCACAGTGGCTCACTTCTGTAATTGTAGCACACTTGGGAGGCCAAGGTGGGAGGATCCCTTGAGCCCAGGAGTTTGAGATCAGCCTGGGCAACATCGTGAGAACCTGTCTCTGAAAAAAAAAAAAAAAATTAGCCAGATGTGCTGGTGCATGCCTGTAGTCCCAGCTACTTGGGAGGCTAGGGTGGGGAGATTACTTGAGCCCAGGAAGCAAAGGGTGCAGTTTGCAGAGATCACACCACTGCACTCCAGACTGGGCAACATTGCAAGACCCTGTCTCCAAAAAATAAAAAATTACTTGGAGATTCAGTGTCTCCTAAGAATATTTTCAGAAGCTATCTGAGAAAGAAGTCAACATCTCTCTTAGAGAAAGGGGATAAATAATGAGAAAATGCTGAGGTTAATAAGGCAATATAGAAGCAAGGGTGTGTATGTTTTTCCATTTTCACATTTATATGGGTTTTCAGGAAACAACTAACAGCCAGATCAAAGCTAGTCCAGTCATTCCAACACCAAGTCTGTTGGTGGGAGCTAAAAGGCATCCGTGAGCCTTTCATATCTGCTGTAACATGCCCCTCTGACTCCCTCCTCCCCCTCTTTGCTGTTATTTAAAAGGAGAGACAAATGGCCAGCCACGTAAATCATGCAGTATTGAAAAGGTCACACTAACAGAGCTGGTGACTGCCTTTGAGAGCATGTTGGAAGGATTTAAAACCTCATTACTCTGTCCAGGATTGTAAAGAGAAAATGATAACAGGAGTTTCAAGAACAGCTGAAAATGGAATAGTCGACCATTTTCTTGTTACAGTGAAAATGCAGATGCTGACACAATGCCAAGCCCAGATGCCACTGCCTCAGGTACGGTCGAGAGACTGTGGACATCCCATTAGAGAGACCGCTCACCCCTCCCCAGAACCCTGCACGGGGAGAAGTCAGCGGCAATGACAGCCTGGACCAGATGCCAGGACTCAAATCTTGATCTTGTCAGTAGCGGACATACTCACCTATAAGTTAGAAAAGTTTTGTGTTAATGAAAACACTGAAATAAAATGTATCACAGAAGCTCTACCCATCACCTTCCTCTCCTTTCCAGATTTTCATTCTCCATTTCATGGACTTTATCCTTCCTACAACCCACAGTAATACTCTCAACACTTCTTCGTTTGAGGACATTTCTAACTCTTGTTCACCTCCAAGTTCACTCCCAAGGAATTCACTTCCCCCCATATTTCTGATTGAAGAGTGTTTAATTACAGTATCTCACCTCCATGATCAGAACCAGCGTTGGAAATCGTAAGGCTCTTTTTGTGGAAAGGAATTGAAAACCTTATTATAAGATCCCATGTTCAACATCTTTTATTGTGAGAAATACTGAGTAGAATCCCTGACTCTGAAAATGTCCTGTTCTGCACAGACTGAGAAGTTACCCCCCCATAACAAAACTTAAGAATTCCTTAATTCAGAAAAGTTCTGATATGGGAAACCCTGGATTTTCATGAGAAAAGAAATCCCATAGTTTTGTCTGATACATGTATAACATCATTCAATTTACAAAAATGTCATTTATTCATGATTTTTATCAGAACCTCTACCTAGGAATATCTGTTAGGATAGATAAGCAGGAGGTGAAAATAAAATCCCTCCAGCATCCAGGCAGGTAGCATGAATCACGGAAGCAGCTTCACGGTAAATGATGGGGAATGCCATCAACCGTGGTGAATGGGACTGAACCCCGTCCAGCCAAATCCACAGCTACTGATCAGATGGATGTGGGCATTGCCAGGTGGGAACACTGACACAGTATTTGAATTTTCAAATTGTTTAAGAAAAACAACAAATTTTGAATCTCGTAACTTTTCAATATTAGTAACTAATTAAACATGTTTAAAACAAACAAAGAAAATCTTGATTATGTGACTTTGATTCCACTGGAAAGGCACTGAAGTTGGTCTGTATTGCTTTTTATTTGTTTAAATGTTTTAAATATATAGATTTTTAGGATACAGCTGTTGTCCTGTTTTGCATCATGTTCTAATCCTTATTAAAAGCTCTTTCTTGCTCCATAGGCTCTGCCAAAAGTTAGAAATAGGTTTCATCTCAGTTATCACTTCCAATCAATCAGAGAGGCAGCCTCAGATTTCTGTCTGCAGAAGAAATGGGCCCTAGCTGGAAGGAGTGCTGGCATTGATTAGTGATGTCTTCCATGAGCACATGAGGTGGGTGGTGACATGCACATCTTGTCTCTGCCATTCTGGGCTCCTAAATTAAGTCCAAATTCCAACACATGTTTCAAAGTATTTGAAGACTCTACTTACATTTATAGTCTCACACACTGCCACTTCTTCTCCCCAGAATGCACCTTATCAAAAAGACCCTTCCCCTGCACAAATGAACAAGAAGAGATGAATCACGTATCACGTTCCCACATTTCTCCAAACTTTTGATATGAGTCCAACAACCTGACATACTGTCCTTGCTCTTGTTTGCTGGGTGAACCCCTACTCAAATAGCACCTCCTCTGTATGTCTGTCCTGAATCTTTGTTCTTAATTCCTACATTTTCCATTATACTTCATTCCTATATCAACAGAAGAGTTTTTGAAACTGTATTATGTCTCCCATAATACAGCATGAGCCATTCAAGGTCATAAATCATGTCTTAATTATGTGAGTATGCCTAATAACTAACCAATAACAAATTCAGTGTTAGTTGAATAAATGCATGTGTAAATAAAGCAATTATCTTCTAATATAAAAAACATTTTAACAATGGCATCTCTTAGGTCAAATTTTACCGAACTTCAGTTAGTCGTGTGGTACTTTCACAATTTCTGCCATGTCCACATTCCAAAAATTACTTAAATTTTTTAGTGTCACTAAAAGGAACACAGGATATCAGCTTTATTAGAAACTGAGAAACCCTATTGGTGATTAATGTGATCTGATCTTTCTTCCAACCACTGTGGCAGAAGGCAATGTTCACTTACTAAAATACTGTGCACATGGACACACCTATAATTCAAATAATAGCATATTTTGCATTGTCTTCATGTCATATTATTTTCTAGTAAACATTCAAATAAATATAGAAGTATTGATATAATTTTAAAAATTGCCCCTTTACTACCAGAAACATTTTATAAACCTACAGAGTCCCACTAGCCATGTTTGAGGAAACAATGATTTCAGAGATTTGTTTCTTCAAAGCACACAATGTGTCCATTTGCAAGGCTTTTTGACACATCACAGGAATGATCCATTAATCATGTTGAAGATGACACTGATTTGAGGATATCTATTTTATGGATGATGAAGTAGAAGCCCTAGGAATACAGCATTTCCTCTTAGCATCTGACAATAGCTCTAATGGAGGTGGTGATACACAAATCTTATGCCCTAAGTGCCAGTCACCAACACCCTGTGCACACCAGATTTATTTTAACCAGATCACAGCCTCCTTTTGTCCTTTACAAATGGCATTGATTATTGATTCTCCCCTTTCTCACAGAGAAGTACAACTCAAAATCATAGCAATCATTTTTAATAAATGGACGCCTACGCCCAGTGTCCCCTGCCACAAGAGGCCATTTGCCCCATTACACGCCACAGCAGGTAGGCAGACTAGGTGTCTTCCAGGCCTAGAAGAGTACACAGGGGCAGAATGTTCTTTGGAAGCCAGGGGCTGGTACCTGGCCTGGATTTTACGCACACAGATTCTGTGTGTCATCCTAGTGCCACTCCCTTGAGACAGCAAGAACACAGTTAGCTGTTCCAAAAAGAGCCAAAGGAAACTCACCCAGGAAATGCCATCATCCTGCAACTGTATAGAGTCTACTGCAGTCCAAAACTTGATTTCACGCCTAACCCCCAAGATTCCTGCCTTGCGCTAAAATCTCAACCGCTTTGCTTCTTTGATCTCTCCTTTATCTCAATAATAGTTATAATTAAGATAAAAGGGAAATACCACCTTTGATATAAGCTATCACATTTTAAAATCATTTCATAAAATTACTTTGGTGACTTCTAAACCTTAGCCATTTGTGTATTGTAGCAAAAGTTTTTGCCATGTTCTTATATCACCTTTTATCTTAATTCTTTTAAGAATTTCCTTTAAATTGGCATTGCTCTTTTCTATTTAACAAAACTCTGGAGAACTCATTATGAAAGTGGATGTTGTATATGATAGCTTTATGGTTTTCATATAAATATGTATATATATGTATATATATGTGTGTGTGTATATATATATATATATACACACACACACACATATATATATACATATATACATACATATATACAGGCAATCACCCAAGTATTGGAATTTTTTAAGAAGCTGATCTCAGCACCTTCTAAAATAATTATCACCTTGCTAATCCACATCCTGCCAAAAATTTCATTTATTTTCAAGAATTCTCTTAAAATTCTCTCCTAATTAAAATCCTCCAGTAGTTTTTTTAGTGACTATAGGCTACAGTCCAAACGCCTTGGCTTAGCTAGAGTGACCGTCACAATTTAGCTTCTATGTGTACTTCCAAACTCACATCTTCACCCATTTCCTATCTTTTTTTGGTTGTTTGTTAACTAGCTGATTCACTCTTATATAAACATCAATGACAAGCTCAACCCTTGCCCAAGTCACCAAAATAGAGTTTAGTAACAACCTGTGCTAATTTTCTTTTCTTTCACACCTAAATTCTGAAAGAAGGCCTAAGTATACTTTAAAAAAAAAAAAAAAAAAAAAAAAAAAAAAAGGCCTGTTTTTTAAGATATCCCAGACTCAATGGATAAGTTTGGAAACAATTTAGTCTTTACCTTGCTTTCCTGAACCAAAAGCCTTTGCAGAACTGATCTCTCTTTTTTTTTTTTCTTGTGACTGCATGGCAATCCTCTTGTTTACTTCTAGTCAGGGATGGTTATACACAGGAGTGGGCACAGGACCCAACAGAACACGCCAACGGCTTCAGTACAGCCCCCTTTGCCCTCTGTAGCCATTAGGCCAGGGTTGGCAACTGAGGCTGAGTGATAAGGTTTGGCTCTGTCCCCACCCAAATTTCATCTTGAATTGTAGTTCCCGTAATCCCCATGTGTCATGGAGGAGACCCAGTGGGAGGTAACTGAATCATGGGGGTGGTTTCCCCCGTGCTATTCTCATGATAGTGAGTAAGTTCTCACAAGATCTGATAGTTTTGTAAGAGGCTTCCCCCTTCGCTCAGCTCTCATTCTTCTCTCTCCTGCCACCATGTGAAGAAGGACATGTTTGCTTCCCTTTCTGCCGTGATGGTAAGTTTCCTGAGGCCTCCCCAGCCATGCAGAACTGTGAGTCAATTAAACCTATTTCCTTTATAAATTACCCAGTCTCAGTCAGTTCTTCTTATCAGGGTAAGAATGGACTAATACACTGAGCCAATTCTCTGTCCTAAGAAGTTTTGAACTGATGCTGGTAAGAAAAAATTATTTTCTTCTTTTGTTGTAAGGCTATACAAATATAAACCTAGGTCTGCACTTGGCTTTGATCCTTGCCTAATGGAGAAGTTCCTCTGGAGAAATGAAACTCATTAAAAAATGCAAAAACAGAAGTGACCTCTCCTGACATAGATCCTTTTCTTGTCACTCTCACCATGAAGGTCTCAATCTTTTGCAATTTGCTTTGAGAGTGAATATATTCCTTTTTGCCCATTTCTTTTGAGAGCAGACTTAGATTGACCTTGCCACTTATTATGAGAAAACTGGATTAATTCACTTTTATGTCTAATTGTGAAGGCCATACCCTGAGGCTGAATACTCTGCTCTTCTCCTTGAGGCGAATAAATATTGAAAGAAATAAATGTTGACACCACACAGCATCTATACTACAAAAGAGGAAGGTTTACTTGAAGTAAATTGATTTTTATTTGCACATTGCCTATACTGAAGCAAATGTCAAGTGCATTTCCTTCTTCCTTTTATTTTGTTCTTATTCTTGTAATTGTTACAGCTTCATCTTTACAGTTAGATCTTGGAACTACAGGGCCCATTAGACCTGACTTTCTGATATAACTCTATTAAGGTTTCATGTTTTATTCAGACTAGAAATGTAGGCCTATTGATTTAACTTTAAATAGCACATTATTCGATTAGAGTAGATGTTTGCTTTTCTGTAATTTGCAGGCTCTGTGTGTCTAACAGGGTTTCGTCACCAAAGTCATATAGATTGGTGCAAATCACCGATTTTTCAGTGGACTAGTGAACAATGCAGAACACACGTAGATTCCTGTCACATCAACCTGAAGGGATATCTTCTTCAACAAGTAAGGCCTGTATCTGGGTTTTTGTCCATGTGCTTCACTTTCAACAAAACAGGCAAAATGTAATTGCTCTTTAAAGAGAATAGCTCTAATGTGTTGGTGTGGACCAACATGTAAGTGTTTACACTTCTCCACTGTTTTTTTGTAGAGAACCAAAATCTCCTAGTGCTTTCTCCTTCAACTTGCATGTGTATCGCAATTCCTCAGCCATCATTGTAAAACTGTTGTTCAGTCAAATCGCTGTGTCTCCCAACATCTACACACTACAAAGCGCCCTTCTTCCCAGCTCCAGTTAAGAATCTTGAGATCTATTAAGTCTTTTATAAATTTTGTAGGAAATATCATGGCTGGCAGTGCACACCTGACAGAACACATATCCTGGAGTAAGGCAAACTCAAACTCAACATCTGTTTCCATTAGACACTAAACCTCTTTGAGCCTTAATCTCTCTGTCCATAAAATTGAGATATTATTTACCATAGAGGATTACCATGACCTTTACATAAAATAACCAACCTAGAAGATATTCTAGGAGATTGTCAAACACCTGCAAGTTATTAAAAAAATTTAAGTCTCCATTCCCTCCAATTATGATTTGAGAGAGGTGAAGGACAATCTGAAAAAAAAGGTGGGGGGGGGCGCATGGGAGGAGGTTGGTAACTTTCTAACAAGTAATTCTTTTTTTTTTTTTTTTGGAGACAGAGTCTCGCTCTGTTGCCCAGGCTGGAGTGCAATGATGCGATCTCGGCTCACTGCAACTTCTGCCTCCTGGGTTCAAGCAATTCTCCTGCCTCAGCCTCCCGAGTAGCTGGGACTACAGGCGCCCACCACCATGCCTGGCTAATTTTTGTATATTTAGTAGAGACGGGGTTTCACCATGTTGGCCAGGCTGGTCTTGAACTCCCTACCTTGTGATCCACCTGCCTTGGCCTCCCAAAGTGCTGGGATTACAGGCATGATCCACAGCACCCGGCCTAACAAGTAATTCTTAATAAAAGATTAGACACATGTTCATTTGGATTGAATGTCTCTGAGTATATAATATGGTCCTAATATTTGCTATAGAAGGTAGAATAGTGTTGGGTGCTCTCTGATCATAGGATGATGATGGAAAATTGTAATGGTCTCTCTTTGCAATTATATAATAGCATATATTTATACACTGTGAGAGGAATCCTCCTTGAAGTACCTAGGGCTCATGAGAATTTACTCGTGTGAGTTACTTGAACCAGAAGAGTAAACTGAAGCCAGAGATGGTAAGTGGTTCAATAACATCAAGCATCAAAGTGGCAAACCATCATCTCCTGACACCATAGTCTATGGTTTTATTTTTTCCTGCCAATCCTTTACAAATAAAATACAACCAAACAAAAACAATGTGTTATCATAATAACTATTGACATTTATTCATGGTTCACCTTATGTCAGACCTTGTAATAGTGTTTTAAATTTGCTGCCTTGCTTCCACTATCTTGTTTACACAGTCAATACTCTCTGCTACAGACCCAGTATAGGAGAGAACAGTTGTTTCAGCCCCAGTATTAGCTACGGCAAAATAACTGGGGAACCACAGCCAGCAAATCTGCAGATTTTCTTAGCATTAGTATTAGAACCTCACCAGGCTTTCAATAACGAGTAGGAAAAATGTACAGGCCAAACAAGTTGGTTTTCAGACAAAGGGAAAGCTCGGAAAATGGATAACTAGCATGTTTTTGCACAATTATATTCACAAGAAAATAAATCAGGACTGCAACTCACATATTCATTCAATGATGCACTCTAAATATAATGGACACTATTTGATTTATTTGTCATTCTGTGCTTGGTAACATATTTATCGGGAAATTATAAGGTTGAAAGCCTTGGTTAATAACAATGGCTGTCGGCAGGCCAGAGCACCACAAGTTGACTTTATTGGACAGTACTTTGGGACCAATGCTTTAATTTAAAAAATGTGATAAAAATCATGTGAGATTTGGAAAACTTGGCTTGAGAAGTGATCAGTAACATAAAGACCCTTAGTTTTGTTTTGTTTTTTTCTTTTCAACTTTCATTTTGGATTCAGGAGGTATATGTGAAGGTTCATTACATGTGTAAATTGCATGTTGCTGAGGTTTGGTGTATGGATAATCCCATCACCCGGGTATTGAGCAGAGTATCCCACAGGTAGTTTTTCAGCCCACATGTCCCTCTTTCCCTCTCCCCTCTAATAGTCCCCAGTGCCTATTGTTCCCATCTTTATGTCCATGTGTACTCAATGTTTAGCTCCCACTTATAAGTGAGATCATGTGGTATTTGGTTGTCTGTTCCTGCATTAATTCATTTAGGATAATGGCCTTCAGGCAGCTTCCATGTTGCTGCAAATGACATGATTTTATTCTTTTTAATGGCTTCCTAGAGTTCCATTGTGCACACATACCACATTTTCTTTATCAGATCCACTGTTGATGGGCATGTAAGTTGACTCCAGGTCTTTGCTATTGTAAATAGTGCAGAAGTAAACATCCAAATGCACATGTCTTTTTGGTATACACCCAGTAATGGGACTGCTGGGTTGAATGGTAGTTCTGTTTTAGGTTCTTTGAGAAATCTTGACACTGCTTTCTACAGTGGCTGAAGTAATTTGCATTCTTACCAACAGTGTGTAAGCATTCCCTTTTCTCTGTAGCCTGGCAAACATATGTTATTTGTTTAACTTTCTAAAAATCACCATTCTGACAGCTGTGAGATGTTCTTTCATTGTGGATTTGATTTGCCTTTCTCTGATGATTAGTGATGATGAGCATTTTTTTCATATATTTTTTGACCACTTGAATGTCTTCTTTTGAGAAGTGTTTATTCATGTCTGTTGCCCACTTTTAAAATTTGATTATTTGTTTTTTGCTTGTTAATTTGTTTAAGTTCCTTATAGATTCCGGATATCAGACCTTTGTCAAGTGCATAGTTTTCAAATATTTTCTCCCATTCTGTAGGTTGTCTGTTTAGTCTGTTGATAATTTCTTTTGCTGTGCAGAACCTCTTTAGATGAATTAGGTCCCGCTTGTTAATTTTTAGTTTTGTTGCAATTTTTTTTTTTTTTTTTGCAATAGCTTTATGCAACTTACTTTGCCATAAATTCTTAAACTATTCCAAAAAATCAAGAAGGGGCTCCTCCTTAACTTATTCTGGCAGAGACACAACAACAAAAAGAAGAAAAATTCAAGCTAATATCCCTGATGAACATAGATGCAAAAATCTTCAACAAAATGCCAGCAAACCAAATCCAGGAACACATCAAAAAGTTAATTCACCACAATAAAGTAGGCTTTACCCCTGGGATGTAAGGTTTATTCAACATACACAAATCAATAAATGTGAATCATGGCACAAGCAGAATAAAAAACAAAAATCAAATGATCATGTTAATACATGCAGAAAAAGACTTTAATAAAATCCAACACCTCATCATGATAAAAACCCTTAACAGAGTAGGCATCAAAGGAACATACATTAAAATAATAAGTACCATCTATGACAAACCTACAGCAAATATCATACAGAACAGACAAAAACTATAACCATCCACTTGGGAACTGAAATGAGACAAGGATGCCCACTCTCACCACTCCTGTTCAACACAGTACTGGAAGTCCTAGCCAGAGCAATCAGGCAAGATAAATAAATAAAATTCATCCAAATAGGAAAAGAAGAAGTAAAACTATCCCTCTTCATTGATGATATGATTCTATACCTAGAAAACCCTAAAGTCTCTCCCAAAAGGCTCCTACAAATGATAAGTAAATTCAATAACGTTTCAAGATACGAAATCAACATACAAAAATCGGTGGCATTTCTATACACCAATAGTGTTCTAGATGAGAGCCAAATCAAGAACACAATCACATTTAAAATAGCCACAAAAAATGAAGTACCTAGGTATTTATCTAACCAAGGAGGTGAAAGATCTCTGCAAGAAGAACTACAAAATACTCTTGAAAGAAAGCAGACATGACACAAATAAACGGAAAAATATACTCATGGATTGGAAAAATCAACATCATTTAAATGGACATACTTCCCAAAGCAATTTACAGATTCAATGCTATTTCTATCAAAATATCAATGCCATTTTTCATAGAATTAGAAAAAACTGTTTTAAAATTCACATGGAACTGAAAAACCCAGAATAGCGAAAGCATCCTAAACAAAAGTAACAAAGCTGTAAGCATCAAATCACCCAATTTCAGACTATACTATAAGGCTAAAATAACCAAAACAGCATGGTACAGGTACAAAAATAGACACGTAGGCCAATGGAACAAAATAAATAACCCAGAAATAAAGTGGAATGCCTACAGCCATTTGACCTTCAACCAAGTCAAAAAAAATAAGCAATGAGGAAAGGACTCCTTATTCAATAAATAGTGCTAGGATAATTGGCTAGGCATATGCAGAAAAATAAAACTGGACCCATACCTTTCACCATATACAAAAATTAACTCAAGATATACTAAATATTTAAATGTAAGACCTCAAACTATAAAAATCCTAGAAGAAAACCTAGGAAATACCCTTCTGCACATCGGCTTTGATAAAGACACTTTGTTACTTAACATATTTATTTGGGAGAGGCGGTCTTCAAGAAAGTTAAGACAATCCTTCAGGGAGGTAAAGAAATGAAAATTAAGAGGGCTGTTGGAATCTGTGTTATTTTCTTACCATTGTAGCTTTGTCCATAAGTGGTAGTGCTATTTCAATTGCAAATTAAATCCAAACAGCAGTTTGGAAGATGTAATTAGGAAAGAATGAATAAAGGATATGAATAGAAATGATCATTTTCTGCTAGCTGTCTGTCCACTTGACAATAGAAGTAGAAGAGAGACTTTCTTTTGTTTAATGAGTGTGCTGTGTAATCTGAATGTTTCCTTTGCTTTATACTCCTGTGGTGTTCTTAGCTTACTCTGATTTATATTTCTTCCAGTTCCTAGAGCCAGGAATACCTTCTGAGCATTCATATTCTCTGAGTGATATACATCAGTGAAAAGCCATTAAATTATCAAATCCCCTCCATATTTAGGGAACAACATGACTTAATCAGAGGCGTTATCTCTCCTCTTTGCCTCTATTGGTGCATTTTTTTTTTTAGCTAAAAATGCATTGCAGGTTTTCATTTCTGATATTCCTTTGTATGTCCCTTAATTCCTAATATAAGTAGATTTATATTCAATTATTTGCCAAGTTTTAGAAAATATTTAGAAAAAAACAGAGGACACATTTTTATCTTTGACAATATCTTTAAACTCAGATCTTCCTTAAAACAAGTCATTTTGTGGACAATTCAAGAGCAGAAAAGTTAAAAGAAATAAAAAGTCCCTGAAATAAACAACCTCACTATTCACCAGGAGCTGTGCTCAGTGGAAAATTGCAGTGTTCTATTTATGTCGTAGGTAAAAGAATGTGTACCGGAGTTCAAACCATGATTCCGTTCCTCACCCTTTGTGTTAATCACAGGATAAATGACTTAACCTCTCTGTGCATCCCAACTATATCCCATAAAGAGTTTCCCATCTATAAAATGGGATTCATAATAGTAGTTAACTCAAGGTGGCATTGTGAGGATTAAACAAGTTAAAACATATGAATCACTGACAACAGTGCCTGGCACATTAGCACATAGTAAGTGCCCGATCAGTATAAAGCATCATTGATATTACATGCAAAGGTGATGCTATGGTTTGGATGTTTGTCTACCCAAACCTCACGTTGAAATTTGATCCCAATGTGGAGGTATGGTCTAGCGGGATGTGTTTGGGTCATGGGGGTGGATACTTCATGAATAGATTAATGCCATGTCCGTGGGGATTTGGGGGTGAGTGAGTTCTCACTCTATTAGTTTCCATAAGAGCTGGTTGTTAAAAAGGAGCCTGGGAAAAGTTCTTGCGGAGGAGCCAAGATGGCCGAATAGGAACAGCTCCGGTCTATAGCTCCCAGCGTGAGCGACGCAGAAGACGGTGATTTCTGCATTTCCATCTGAGGTACCGGGTTCATCTCACTAGGGAGTGCCAGACAGTGGGTGCAGGCCAGTGTGTGTGCGCACCGTGCGCGAGCCGAAGCAGGGCGAGGCATTGCCTCACCTGGGAAGCGCAAGGGGTCAGGGAGTTCCCTTTCCGAGTCAAAGAAAGGGGTGACGGACGCACCTGGAAAATCGGGTCACTCCCACCCGAATATTGCGCTTTTCAGACCGGCTTAAGAAACGGCGCACCACGAGACTATATCCCACACCTGGCTCAGAGGGTCCTACGCCCACGGAATCTCGCTGATTGCTAGCACAGCAGTCTGAGATCAAACTGCAAGGCGGCAACGAGGCTGGGGGAGGGGCGCCCGCCATTGCCCAGGCTTGCTTAGGTAAACAAAGCAGCCGGGAAGCTCGAACTGGGTGGAGCCCACCACAGCTCAAGGAGGCCTGCCTGCCTCTGTAGGCTCCACCTCTGGGGGCAGGGCACAGACAAACAAAAAGACAGCAGTAACCTCTGCAGACTTAAGTGTCCCTGTCTGACAGCTTTGAAGAGAGCAGTGGTTCTCCCAGCACGCAGCTGGAGATCTGAGAACGGGCAGACTGCCTCCTCAAGTGGGTCCCTGACTCCTGACCCCCGAGCAGCCTAACTGGGAGGCACCCCCCAGCAGGGGCACACTGACACCTCACACGGCAGGGTATTCCAACAGACCTGCAGCTGAGGGTCCTGTCTGTTAGAAGGAAAACTAACAACCAGAAAGGACATCTACACCGAAAACCCATCTGTACATCACCATCATCAAAGACCAAAAGTAGATAAAACCACAAAGATGGGGAAAAAACAGAACAGAAAAACTGGAAACTCTAAAACGCAGAGCGCCTCTCCTCCTCCAAAGGAACGCAGTTCCTCACCAGCAACAGAACAAAGCTGGATGGAGAATGATTTTGACGAGCTGAGAGAAGAAGGCTTCAGACGATCAAATTACTCTGAGCTACGGGAGGACATTCAAACCAAAGGCAAAGAAGTTGAAAACTTTGAAAAAAATTTAGAAGAATGTATAACTAGAATAACCAATACAGAGAAGTGCTTAAAGGAGCTGATGGAGCTGAAAACCAAGGCTCGAGAACTACGTGAAGAATGCAGAAGCCTCAGGAGCCGATGCGATCAACTGGAAGAAAGGGTATCAGCAATGGAAGATGAAATGAATGAAATGAAGCGAGAAGGGAAGTTTAGAGAAAAAAGAATAAAAAGAAATGAGCAAAGCCTCCAAGAAATATGGGACTATGTGAAAAGACCAAATCTACGTCTGATTGGTGTACCTGAAAGTGATGTGGAGAATGGAACCAAGTTGGAAAACACTCTGCAGGATATTATCCAGGAGAACTTCCCCAATCTAGCAAGGCAGGCCAACGTTCAGATTCAGGAAATACAGAGAACGCCACAAAGATACTCCTCGAGAAGAGCAACTCCAAGACACATAATTGTCAGATTCACCAAAGTGGAAATGAAGGAAAAAATGTTAAGGGCAGCCAGAGAGAAAGGTCGGGTTACCCTCAAAGGAAAGCCCATCAGACTAACAGCGGATCTCTCGGCAGAAACCCTACAAGCCAGAAGAGAGTGGGGGCCAATATTCAACATTCTTAAAGAAAAGAATTTTCAACCCAGAATTTCATATCCAGCCAAACTAAGCTTCATAAGTGAAGGAGAAATAAAATACTTTATAGACAAGCAAATGTTGAGAGATTTTGTCACCACCAGGCCTGCCCTAAAAGAGCTCCTGAAGGAAGCGCTAAACATGGAAAGGAACAACCGGTACCAGCCGCTGCAAAATCATGCCAAAATGTAAAGACCATCGAGACTAGGAAGAAACTGCATCAACTAATGAGCAAAATCACCAGCTAACATCATAATGACAGGATCAAATTCACACATAACAATATTAACTTTAAATATAAATGGACTAAATTCTGCAATTAAAAGACACAGACTGGCAAGTTGGATAAAGAGTCAAGACCCATCAGTGTGCTGTATTCAGGAAACCCATCTCACGTGCAGAGACACACATAGGCTCAAAATAAAAGGATGGAGGAAGATCTACCAAGCCAATGGAAAACAAAAAAAGGCAGGGGTTGCAATCCTAGTCTCTGATAAAACAGACTTTAAACCAACAAAGATCAAAAGAGTCAAAGAAGGCCATTACATAATGGTAAAGGGATCAATTCAACAAGAGGAGCTAACTATCCTAAATATTTATGCACCCAATACAGGAGCACCCAGATTCATAAAGCAAGTCCTCAGTGACCTACAAAGAGACTTAGACTCCCACACATTAATAATGGGAGACTTTAACACCCCACTGTCAACATTAGACAGATCAACGAGACAGAAAGTCAACAAGGATACCCAGGAATTGAACTCAGCTCTGCACCAAGCAGACCTAATAGACATCTACAGAACTCTCCACCCCAAATCAACAGAATATACATTTTTTTCAGCACCACACCACACCTATTCCAAAATTGACCACATAGTTGGAAGTAAAGCTCTCCTCAGCAAATGTAAAAGAACAGAAACTATAACAAACTATCTCTCAGACCACAGTGCAATCAAACTAGAACTCAGGATTAAGAATCTCACTCAAAGCCGCTCAACTACATGGAAACTGAACAACCTGCTCCTGAATGACTACTGGGTACATAACGAAATGAAGGCAGAAATAAAGATGTTCTTTGAAACCAACGAGAACAAAGACACCACATACCAGAATCTCTGGGACGCATTCAAAGCAGTGTGTAGAGGGAAATTTATAGCACTAAATGCCTACAAGAGAAAGCAGGAAAGATCCAAAATTGACACCCTAACATCACAATTAAAAGAACTAGAAAAGCAAGAGCAAACACATTCAAAAGCTAGCAGAAGGCAAGAAATAACTAAAATCAGAGCAGAACTGAAGGAAATAGAGACACAAAAAACCCTTCAAAAAATCAATGAATCCAGGAGCTGGTTTTTTGAAAGGATCAACAAAATTGATAGACCGCTAGCAAGACTAATAAAGAAAAAAAGAGAGAAGAATCAAATAGACACAATAAAAAATGATAAAGGGGATATCACCACCGATCCCACAGAAATACAAACTACCATCAGAGAATACTACAAACACCTCTACGCAAATAAACTAGAAAATCTAGAAGAAATGGATACATTCCTCGACACATACACTCTCCCAAGACTAAACCAGGAAGAAGTTGAATCTCTGAATCGACCAATAACAGGCTCTGAAATTGTGGCAATAATCAATAGTTTACCAACCAAAAAGAGTCCAGGACCAGATGGATTCACAGCCGAATTCTACCAGAGGTACAAGGAGGAACTGGTACCATTCCTTCTGAAACTATTCCAATCAATAGAAAAAGAGGGAATCCTCCCTAACTCATTTTATGAGGCCAGCATCATTCTGATACCAAAGCCGGGCAGAGACACAACCAAAAAAGAGAATTTTAGACCAATATCCTTGATGAACATTGATGCAAAAATCCTCAATAAAATACTGGCAAACCGAATCCAGCAGCACATCAAAAAGCTTATCCACCATGATCAAGTGGGCTTCATCCCTGGGATGCAAGGCTGGTTCAATATACGCAAATCAATAAATGTAATCCAGCATATAAACAGAGCCAAAGACAAAAACCACATGATTATCTCAATAGATGCAGAAAAAGCCTTTGACAAAATTCAACAACCCTTCATGCTAAAAACTCTCAATAAATTAGGTATTGATGGGACGTATTTCAAAATAATAAGAGCTATCTATGACAAACCCACAGCCAATATCATACTGAATGGGCAAAAACTGGAAGCATTCCCTTTGAAAACCGGCACAAGACAGGGATGCCCTCTCTCACCGCTCCTATTCAACATAGTGTTGGAAGTTCTGGCCAGGGCAATCAGGCAGGAGAAGGAAATAAAGGGTATTCAATTAGGAAAAGAGGAAGTCAAATTGACCCTGTTTGCAGACGACATGATTGTTTATCTAGAAAACCCCATCGTCTCAGCCCAAAATCTCCTTAAGCTGATAAGCAACTTCAGCAAAGTCTCAGGATACAAAATCAATGTACAAAAATCACAAGCATTCTTATACACCAACAACAGACAAACAGAGAGCCAAATCATGGGTGAACTCCCATTCACAATTGCTTCAAAGAGAATAAAATACCTAGGAATCCAACTTACAAGGGATGTGAAGGACCTCTTCAAGGACAACTACAAACCACTGCTCAAGGAAATAAAAGAGGACACAAACAAATGGAAGAACATTCCATGCTCATGGGTAGGAAGAATCAATATCGTGAAAATGGCCATACTGCCCAAGGTAATTTACAGATTCAATGCCATCCCCATCAAGCTACCAATGACTTTCTTCACAGAATTGGAAAAAACTACTTTAAAGTTCATATGGAACCAAAAAAGAGCCCGCATTGCCAAGTCAATCCTAAGCCAAAAGAACAAAGCTGGAGGCATCACACTACCTGACTTCAAACTATACTACAAGGCTACAGTAACCAAAACAGCATGGTACTGGTACCAAAACAGAGATATAGATCAATGGAACAGAACAGAGCCCTCAGAAATAATGCCGCATATCTACAACTATCTGATCTTTGACAAACCTGAGAAAAACAAGCAATGGGGAAAGGATTTCCTATTTAATAAATGGTGCTGGGAAAACTGGCTAGCCATATGTAGAAAGCTGAAACTGGATCCCTTCCTTACACCTTATACAAAAATCAATTCAAGATGGATTAAAGATTTAAACGTTAAACCTAAAACCATAAAAACCCTAGAAGAAAACCTAGGCATTACCATTCAGGACATAGGCGTGGGCAAGGACTTCATGTCCAAAACACCAAAAGCAATGGCAACAAAAGACAAAATTGACAAATGGGATCTAATTAAACTAAAGAGCTTCTGCACAGCAAAAGAAACTACCATCAGAGTGAACAGGCAACCTACAACATGGGAGAAAATTTTTGCAACCTACTCATCTGACAAAGGGCTAATATCCAGAATCTACAATGAACTCAAACAAATTTACAAGAAAAAAACAAACAACCCCATCAAAAAGTGGGCGAAGGACATGAACAGACACTTCTCAAAAGAAGACATTTATGCAGCCAAAAAACACATGAAGAAATGCTCATCATCACTGGCCATCAGAGAAATGCAAATCAAAACCACTATGAGATATCATCTCACACCAGTTAGAATGGCAATCATTAAAAAGTCAGGAAACAACAGGTGCTGGAGAGGATGCGGAGAAATAGGAACACTTTTACACTGTTGGTGGGACTGTAAACTAGTTCAACCATTGTGGAAGTCAGTGTGGCGATTCCTCAGGGATCTAGAACTAGAAATACCATTTGACCCAGCCATCCCATTACTGGGTATATACCCAAATGAGTATAAATCATGCTGCTATAAAGACACATGCACACGTATGTTTATTGCGGCACTATTCACAATAGCAAAGACTTGGAACCAACCCAAATGTCCAACAATGATAGACTGGATTAAGAAAATGTGGCACATATACACCATGGAATACTATGCAGCCATAAAAAATGATGAGTTCATATCCTTTGTAGGGACATGGATGAAATTGGAAACCATCATTCTCAGTAAACTATCGCAAGAACAAAAAACCAAACACCGCATATTCTCACTCATAGGTGGGAATTGAACAATGAGATCACATGGACACAGGAAGGGGAATATCACACTCTGGGGACTGTGGTGGGGTCGGGGGAGGGGGGAGGGATAGCATTGGGAGATATACCTAATGCTAGATGACACATTAGTGGGTGCAGCGCACCAGCATGGCACATGTATACATATGTAACTAACCTGCACAATGTGCACATGTACCCTAAAACTTAGAGTATAATAAAAAAAAAAAAAAAAAAAAAGAAAACCACTCAAAAAAAAAAAAAAAAAAAAAAAGGAGCCCGGAACCTCCCTCACTTTCCTCCCTCTCTCGCCATGTGATCTCTGCACACACTGGCTGCCCCTCACCTTCTGATATTAGTGGAAGCTCATGGTTCTGCAGGTTGACATGTTCTTGCAAAACCTGAAGTTGTACTGAAGAATTGAAGCCAACCTAACTCTAAAACCTTTTCTTTTTTCCATATCTAGGGATATCATTTTCTAGGGTAAATATGCTTCCCTAATGGAAAACATGGACCTCTTTAGAATCAGAAATCTCATCTGTACCTGAACCTGATTTCAACTCCCAAATCCTGAATTTGAATTGACAATCTAAAATAACAAGGTTTTGAGATCCTGGGAGGAAGTGAGTATATTTTGCATCAGGGAGGAGCATATAAAATCTTTGGTCAGGGGTACTCATTGAGTGTGGGCCGTATTTAGTGACCGCTTGTCATAAATAAAATGTGTCAAAAGTTATAGTGTTGTTGGGATTCAGAGATAAACATCACTGTGACTTCTTCCTCTCTTTTTTAAATCCTTCACATTGCAGGCAGCCAGCTGTCATGTCATAAAAACTTTTAAGTGATCCTATGAAGAGACCCAAGGGGTGAGGAACTGAGACCTCATGATAACATCCAGCATGAATTTAGCTGTGGGAGCCAGTCACATTGGAAGTGGATCTTGCAGCCCCAGGCAAGACTGGAGATGACTGCAGCTTTTGTGAACATCTTCACTGCAATATCATTACATACCCCGAGCCTGAGCCAGACAGTTGAGCCTTTCCCAGATTCCTGACCCTCAGAAACTCTTATTTTAATAAATTCTTATTTTTCTACATTGCTAAGTTGTAGGGTGATTTGTATAAAGCAGTAGGTAATTGGCACAATTAGACACTCAGTAGGCATTTGGTCACATAAAGTATGCCTCAGATAGTTTGCAAATGCCTCTGGAGGTTTGCCATGGTTCCTCCAACATGGTAGGTTTTCTATCAGGATTTGCTGATTGATTGTGTTCTTCCTAAAAAAAAATCTAGGGAATTTTCATGGGAAACTGAATGGATAGCTGTCATTCTTTTCCTATCCATTTTCTCAGTTTTTCCCGAGGACGGAGTAGTTCAAGTTGAACTCTCAGCTCCACATATGGATATGCGGCACAGGTCTGGCCAGTGGACATATTTCATGTTATGTCCACAGTTTTACCAATTCAGAAATGGGCACTACACCCAAGTCTGTTTAGTCAGGTAATTCTTGATGCATTGACAGGGAACAAAGCTTCTAGTCACCAGACTAGAAGCTAGAAAAATATGAACCCTGAACTTGTTGGAACCCTCCATACAGAAGGAGCCTGACCGGGAATAAAGACTACACAGAGGGCGTCAGTATTGAGAAACAGAGAAAATAGGTCCTAGAGAAGGCTGCAGTCCAACTTTGCAATAAACCTTAAAAGCCCTCTTCGGGTACATGACTCAACTAATTTCATTTTTGGCTTAAAATTTGATCTGTGCTTTCATTATTTGTAACCAAAAATGTTTAACTAATATAGGTTGTGTTCTAGGTCCGCCAGACCATTGCTACCTACACAACTGTCTACATCGTCTCTACTTAAATCTTCATTGATGCCTTTAGCTCATTTAAGTTTGCTCAAAATGACCTCTTTAGAGCACCCCATTCAGAAAACACCACCTGCCATCTTACCCTTTCTGTAAATCTCACCCTTTGGGAAATCTTGGGCAGTGAGCTTTTTTCTAGTTGCTGTGTTCTAACCCAGGGTATGCAGATGCTATTTCAAAGCCACTTTTGCCCTATTTAGAAGCCAGTTTGCTACACATTTCTAAGCAAGCAACAGGACAACTTTAAATTTCCATATGACAGCTCATCCATCACATGTCGCCTTAAGCACTCATAAGCCAGGTCCACAAAGTGCTTTCCCGGGGCATGGAAGACTTAAGCATATTAATGTTTTTATTAGGCCTTTAGCATTTCATTATTGCCTAGTCCAGCTGAAGCCAGAGGCCTGGGCATTTAATTATCACATACATAAGTTGGTGGGCACGCTCTCTGTGCCATTATAGATCCATTTATGTGTCTTTTTCAAGAATGAAAGGAATTCAGTACTTGCTAATGATGCATAACAGGCTTCTGCGGTCCTGAAAGCCATAATTTATTGACAAACAATATAATTACCGACCCATAAATGCATAAGCCCATCATTTATCAGAAAAAGAGACATGAAAAGATGACCACTCTTGAAATCCTTGCTTTTATCCTTCCTGTGATGACCTTCAAAGAAACTTGACAATGAGAAGAAAACGTGCCTTTCAGATGATGTGGCTGAAAACAATAGAGTGTTATAAATATCAGAAAAGCTCACTATCAACCAACTGACACCTCCAGTGGGGAAGCAATAGGAATGCCATTTTGTTACTGTTCATGAGACGTTCCTCCCACCACGTTGGACACAAACTCAAAGGAAGATGAAGCCATCATGCACAGGGGTATGAATGCAGGCTCAGAGCCAGCAGGTTGGGTAGAAACCTGAGCTCCACCACCCACCAGCTGTGTAACCTTTAGGAAGCTACTTTCCCTCTAATGCCTCTGATTTTTCATGTATAAAATTTAGGTAAAAGCCTTACCTACCTTAAAGTCTTACATGAGGCAGACATATGTCAATGCTACTAATGTGCTTGGCCAATAATAAAAGTTAGCTCCCTTATCTATAACTAGTAAGTAAATGACTAAGGGCAGAAGACATATGCATTCCATTTTTATAGCATCCTAAGCCCTATGAGCACTACACTGAACACAATATATGGTCAGTGAATGTTTTTGGGAAAAATGCTTTCCATGAGGACAAAAAAAAAAAAAAAAAAAAAACACCGTAGATCTAAGTATGCAATTCCAAGTCTCCACCCAATAAAAACCCATTTGACTATAGAGAGCTCCTTCTTTCTTTGATTTCCTCCGTTGAAAAGGAATTCACAGGAGATGCTCCAGAAAGTTATGGAACAATTTAGGCAACCACATATTCCATTATTGGACCAACTTCTTTCCTTTCCTGCCTCCCTCCTTCTCTCTTTCCTTCCCTCTTTCTTTCCTTCCTCCTTCCTTCCCTCCCTCCTTCCCCCTTCCCTCTTTCCTTCCTTTCCTCTTTCCCGCCTTCCCTCTTTCCTTCCTTCCTTCCTTCCTTCTTCTCTCCCTCTCTCCCTGCCTCTCTTCCTTCCTTCCTTCCCTCCTTTTCTTCCTTATTTCTTCTAACTATGTCCTCTGTGTACTTACAGTATCCCAGGCACTCTGCTAAGTAATGGGAAACCCACTGTTTAGTAACATAGTCCTAGAACCCATGAAGCTTCCAATCAATTAGAAACCAAAACTTACAGATATACATATGAATACTTACATAGACGTATGACAGATTAAACATTGTGCTGTCTTTTTAAAAATACTGTATTACTTGATTCTTGCCTGATGAGATTTAATTACACGCACATTTAACACATAAAAATTCAATTATATGTGCTGAGAATAAAATATCGTAAGAAAAAAATAAAACCTATCTATGATGCCTTTGATACCCCTTTTAAACTAGACTTGGACATGTAAGGACCCACAGAGTTTAGCAACAGCCAAATGCAAGAGAAAAAAGAAAATTAATTCTCAAATGTTGAGTTTTGAAGAGCCCGAGTCCTTGTGATTTAAGTTTAATTTACAGAATTTCAAAGGGTCACTTTCATTCGTGAAAAAGTCTGCCTAATGAATGCTGATTTAGAACTAATCTCTGCATACAGTGCAATCCCATTAGACCATCATCATCTCCATATTACACACGAGGAAATTAAGGCATTAAGAGCTAACAACTTGCCAAAGATCAAATAGCTACAAAGTAGTAAAGCCACATTTTAACCAAAGACGGAAAAAGTTGGCCATTGTAAGATACTGATTCTGAAATATTTATTTCTTTATAATGAGCAAGAATTGGTTTCCTTACACTTTCCACTTTAGAGATCCAGAAAAAAGAACAAATCTCTGTAGTCCATTCAGCAGCCCTTTCAATACTTAAGGAAAAGCCATCATGCCTTCCACTTTGTGTCAGCCCTGGGACGTTTCTCTTTCTCCTCACATAGTTAAGCACTTGCACTTCCTTCAGCTTTTCATACTGTAATGTAATTTCCAGGTCCCTCAGCACCCCGAAGTCTTACCCTCTGGCAGAACATGTGTCAATTTCCCAGTGTTACTATTATGGCCTAGAATGCCAACGGAATCCTAGGACAGAGTGACAAAGAGAGGCCTGTCATTGGTTGCCCACTTCGTGTAGAGACCAGTATTCATTCACTTTTCACTTTTTTTTATGAACTCTAATATTAAAAATCAAGAGGCTATGTGTGATGAGAAGTGGCTTGTGCCCTTCAACCTTAATACCAGAGACACAGGAGGGAGCGGTGGGGACTGAGGTCCATTGGAGACCACAGGCACCATATAACAGTTAGTTGCCACTCAGTCCCAGCTGATGTTAACCAGGTGGGAATGTGAGCCTAGCTGAAGCTTTTCAAGAGCAACAGAAATCCAGTTTCCTATTTGAAATTGCCTGTTTTTTTATATCTTATATGCAGCATATAATTTAAGTTTTAAATTCTATGTCCAATATCAAATATAATCAAACAAACAAACAAAATTATATGCCAACATGGCTTTCAGTCAAGTTGCTAGTTGTATTTTGACCTCTTTTCTAGAAAATAGGTATTATTTGTTGCTGTTAAATATCACATTAGTACTTTGGGAAGCCTCATTTAACAACTCACATATATGGAGTCTAATATTGATAAAACTATCCAAGGCCTTTCTTCATAGACATTGCTTTTATGCTATATTTCCCAAGTCATACACTTGTAAAGGTGATTTTTCTTGTTTGTTTGCTTATTTATTTATAGGGATGTATGCTATTTTTGAAAATGCATTTAGATATAAATACAGAACTTTACATTTATTTCTTCTAATCTTGTTACATTAGGCCCAAAGTTCCAGCCTATCAAAATCTTTTTTCCTCCCTCCAGATTCTGTGTCCTAACTACTTCCCCATTTCATCCCTCAAAAGTGTAGGCAACTTGGGGACATAAAGAAGCTAGCAGATTTTGTGTTTGGATTGCCATAACTTAAATTTTCCTCCAGGTTACACTTTCTCTTTTGGGTAAGTCAGGGTCTCAACACAGAGTTTCCCCAATGTGTAAATATTATGCAGATATTCCATAAGGGTCTTGACTGTTCCTTGAAAATCCATCTCTGTGGATCACATAGTTTTCGGGACCTTGGTGGAAATAAAGTGTTCGTAGGCTGGCATCTGTCTGCAGGGTGCTCATGAGTCCTGTGCACCTTTGGAGGTGTCTTTGGGATGAATGCAGAAGTTGCTATGAAGATGAGAACAACTGTGCCGAGAATCATTCATCTCAGAGTCATAGAGTTTATCATTAATTGGATGGTGTACTTCAGCTAATTAATTATATCCCTGCATTTTACACAAGTCCCCTACAGAACCTGGCTTTTCCCAGAAAAGTATTAGAGCAGCTGTGAGCATGGTCATTTGATTCCATGTGTAATCACTGATCATGGCTGGTTAAGAGGAAGGTTCCATCTTCATTCAGTTACAAGAGTAACTGTGAAGCATGTAACTACCATCTTCCTAAGTGATTTATCTATGGAGCTGGGCACAGGATGGCTTCAGTATGTTTCTGTGGAGAGACAAGGTAGTATAATGCAATAATGGGATCCAATCTGATATGGTTTGGCTGTGGTCCCACCCAAATCTCATCTTGAACTATAGCTCCCATAATTCCTACATGTTATGGGAGAGACCTGGTGGGAGACAAACGAATCAGGGGGTCGGTTTCTCCCATATTGTTCTCATGGTAGTGAATAAGTCTCACGCAATCTGATGATTTTATAAGGGGTTTCCCCTTTCACTTGCCTCTCATTCTCTCTTGTCTGGTGCCATGTAAGATGTGCCTTTCACCTTCCACTGTGATTGTGGGGGAGGCCTCTCCAGCCATGTGAAACTGTGAGTCCATTAAAACTCTTTTTCTTTACAAATTACCCAGTCTCAGCTATGTCTTTATCAGCAGCATGAAAATGGACTAATATGGTAAATTGGTAGAAATAGAGTGGGGAACTGCTGTAAAGATATAAAAAAAAAGTGGAAGCAACTTTGGAACTTGGTAACAGGCAAAGGTTGGAACAGTTTGGGGGGCTCAGAAGAAGACAGGAAAATGTGGGAAAGTTTGGAACTTTCGAGGGACTTGTTGAATGGCTTTGACAAAAACCATGATGATAATATGGACAATGAAATCCAGGCTGAGAAGGTCTCATATGGAGATGAGAAACTTGTTGGGAACTGGAGTAAAGGTTACTCTTGCTATGTTTTAGCAAAGAGACTGGCAGCATTTTGCCCCCATCCTAGATATTTGTGGAACCTTGAACTTGAGAGAGATTATTTAGGGTATCTGGTGGAAGAAATTTCTAGGCAGCAAAATATTCAAGAGGTGACTTGAATGCTGTTAAAAGCACTCAGTTTTAAAAGGGAAACATAAAAGTTTGGAAAATTTGCAGCCTTACGATGTGACAGAAAAGAAAAACCCATTTTCTGAGAAGAAATTCAAGCTGGCTGCAGAAATTTGCATGAATAACGAGAAGCCAAATGTTAATCACAAGGCAATGGAGAAAATGTCTCCAGAGCATGTCAGAGACCTTTGCAGCAGCCCCTCCCATCACAGGCCTGGAGGCCTAGGAGGAAAAAATGGTTTTGTGGGCCAGGCCCAGGGCCCCCCTGCTGTGTGCAGCCTAGCAACTCAGCACCCTGAGTCCCAGCCACTCTAGCCATGGCTAAAAGGAGTGAATGTACGACTCAGGCCATGGCTTCAGAGGGTGGAAGCCCCAAGTCTTGGCAGCTTCCACATGATATTGAGCCTGCACTGCAAGTGCACAGAAGTCAAGAATTGATGTTTGGGAACCTCCACCTATATTTCAGAGGATGTATGGAAATGCCTAGATGTCAAGCCAGAAGTTTGCTGCACAAGTGGGGCTCTCATGGAGAGAACCTCTGCTAGGACATTGAGGAAGGGAAATATGGGGTTGAAGCCCCCACACAGAGTCCCCACTGGGGCACTGCCTAGTGGAGCTGTGAGAAAAGGGCCACTGCCCTCCAGACTACAGAATGGTAGCTCCATTGACAGCTTGTACCATGAGCCTGGAAAAGCTGCAGACACTCAATGCCAGCCTGTGAAAGCTGCCAGAAGGGGTGCTGTACCCTGCAAAGCCACAGGGGCAGAGCTGCCCAAGGCCATGGGAACCCACCTCTTGCATCAGCATGACCTCGATGTGAGGCATAGAGTCAAAGGAGATCATTTGGAAACTTTAAGATTTGACTGCTCCACTGGATTTTGGACTTGCATGGGGGCCTTTAGCCCCTTTGTTTTGGCCAATTTCTCCCATATAGAACAGATGTATTTACTCAATGCCTGTACCCCCATTGTATCTAGGAGTAACTAACTTGCTTTTGGTTTTACAGGTTCATAGGCAGAAGGAACTTGCCTTGTCTCAGTTGAGACCTTGGACTGTGGACATTTGAGTTAATGCTGAAATGAGTTAAGATTTTGGGGGACTGTTGGAAAGGCACGATTGTTTTTGAAATGCGAAAACATGACATTTGGGAGGGGCCAGTGGTGGAATGATATGGTTTGTCTGTGTCCCCACCAAAATCTCATCTCGAATTGTAGCTTTCATAATTCCCATGTGTTGTGGGAGGGACTCTGTAGGAAATAATTGAATCATGGGGGTGGTTCCTCCATACTGTTCTCATGGTAGTGAATAAGTCTCACGAGATCTGGTGATTTCATAAGGGGTTTCCCCTGTCTCTTGGCTCTCATTCTTTCTTGCCTGCTGCTATGTAGGATATGCCTTTCACCTTCCACCATGATTGTGAGGCTTCCCCAGCCAGGTGGAACTGTGAGGCCATTAAACCTCTTTCTTTTATAAATTACCCAGTCTTGGGTATGACTATATCAGCAGTGTGAAAACAGACTAATACACAGCCCTCCATGAGCTTGGATTTTCTTCCCCAAGGTGGAGTTCTTCAAGGGAAGAGGTGGGGGACTCCATACCAGGCTCTTGGGAGGGGAACAGAAGGCTTAGGGAACTTCAGATTGAGTGATTTCTTTAGGCCCATGATAGTGTAAGCATTCAGATACCATCTCCCTGGAATGCTTGCCTCCCCACTGTAATAATGATGAGAGAATGATAAATTATGTCCATCATAAAGGTCAGCCAGGAAAAAAATGCATCATCATCATTTTTAGTTTATTTGCAGATGAGCTTCTGAAATTTGCTTCAGATATTTCAAAACACTTAATATTTAAGGAGTTTCAATTTATTCAACTAAAACCTGCCCATAGAGTACATAGGTAACAAATAGGTCAGCCACATTTAGAAAATAAAAATATAGGATTTCCAGCTATATTTGAATTTCAGACAAGCAACAAATGATTTTTATTGTAATTATGTCTCATAAAATATTTATGACTAAAAAAAAACCACTGCTGTTTGTCTGAAATTCAGATTTAACTGGGCATTGGAAGTCCTATATTTTATTTGGTAATTCCAAATGCAGGGAGTCCTTTCACACATTGATATTTATGCAGATTATATGCCAGTTTATCTTTTGTTTTTAGTAAAATTGTATTTTCCAAGCCCAGAAAATACATCGTAAGAATTTTGAGTTTTGCTAAGAATGATTATTTTAAAAGTTAGGCCTCTCAGAAACACCATTTTTTAAAAATCAAAGCTGCCATTATTTAAGGTGCAGCCACCTTCAAAAATCTTCACCCTGAAGAGTAGGCTTCAAGCAGAAGAAAATAATTCTTCCAAGGCCTTTTCTACCATTAGAAAATACTTACAGACTTTTATATCCATCTTAAAGATTTTATGATTGAGACAAATCTATGCTCATTCTCTGTATAGGGACAGGTGGAACAGGTAGAGTAGCAGAATTCAGCATTATTATTATCCTTTTCCTAAAACAAACAATAAACTGGACTCTAGTCTCAGAAACTTAGAAAAGGACAGGTGGAACTGAAGAGCCAGTGTTTTCTTCCAGATCCTTTTAAGGGCCCTATTACAAAAATGCAGTTGTACTGTGTTTTTTTTAAAAAAAGAATAAACAGTAGGTCTGTATTTCAGTCTTTTGCAAAGAGCACAGCAGGGCCAGACACTGGATCCTGGTGGATTTGTAGACCCAGTAGAGTAGAATTAGAGGAAAAACAGAAGTCAAAACAAACAAAAAACAGGAATAACGTTCCACAGAAAGTTTCTAACTGCAGAATTTATAATACAGGCAATATTTAAGATTATTTTAGCTGGTACCTAGATAAATTTGTAAGGTCTTTGAAAAAATTAACTTTAACATCTTAACGTGTATTAAGAAAGGTAACACACAAAACTCATGGTTTCATGAATTGTTTACTTGATGTGTGGCTGAATTTATTTTTTCTTTTTAAGTCTAAAAAGTGAATTAAAGAAAAATGCTAAATATATAAAGACACAAATGTTAAGTTCATTTGCCAAAAACTGTGAAGGTGATGTGTAAATGTACTTTAGGAAATATTGCCCTATGAGAGGGTTATTTCTGCTAAGATGGTGAGCAGGATATCTATTCCAGAAAGAGGGAAGCAACATGACCTGCTGCTGTGTCCTACTGATCCCAGAGTCTCTATCAGTCTTTCACTCCTTAGTGAGGCCATTCTGGCCTCCAGCCTTTCAGAGCATGGGAAGCTCAGTCAGAATAAGACCCTGGGCAATACAGAAGGAATGAGAAAGGAGACTGAACACTTAAGAGATCTGAAGATAAAGCCCCCGCATATTTTAACGACATCTTCATCTGAACATGTGCATTCCACAAACTCCCACACGTCAACCATAGAGCCTCCCTCTCGAACTGCCACAGTGAAGACACCACATTGATTTTCTCAAATGGAGTCTCAAAAGCAGAGTGATTTTGCTAAATAATAAATCAAGTCTGGCCAAAACTTGTGCTTTCCTCATATATGTATATACATTTTCATCCAAGACTATACTTTAGCTTTTCCATAGTATTTGCAGCTGCCTATTATAGCTTCCATTCATAACCTCCCCAAATCCCTAGGGCAGCTCCTATACATCTTTGGCACAAGGAAAGAGGTATTTCTCTAAGGTAAAGATTCATTTAAATAATTCACTTGTAGCAGAGGCTGCCAAACACTCTTCATACATCAGTGGATGAGCCTTTCATTCAGCTCTCTATTGTGAATCAGCTTTGAGTTTTATGCTTTAAAAGCATATTTATGTTTATTTACAGAGACCAACTGCCATCCAGTTTTCATGTTGGTCAAACAGTGGGAAACAGTGTGTCTTTGATCCTCCAAAACACATTGAGCACATATGCAAGTGGTAGCAATGAAGCTCACTCTTCAGTATTAGCGGGAAGTTCTGCTATGTAAGAAGTAGACAGTGAACAGCATAAAAAATGAACTGAAAAAAAAAGGATATATTTTTTCAGAAAAAGAATCTTTGTGGAGCTATCTAGTATTACAACTTCAGCAACATTATGAGCGGCTAAAATTTTACCAGTGAAGATGTCAAACTCATTCTCTATGAACATAAAAAGAGGCCTTAGATTCAACCCCTAGCAACCCTAAGAGTAAATGACAGTGTAGTAAAGAATTTAGCTTTGTCCAAAGAGAGACCTGGTCTGTTTTGGCTCCTGGGAGGTAACCTCTAAGTCCTTGAAGTTTCTTGCCTGATAGAAGTATCTTTGTTTATCTGGGATTCTTGGGCCTCACAAAATTCAAAAAAAGTAATTTAGGGTAGGGGCTTTGGGTAACACAAATCAGCTTGACCTCTGAAGGGCCTGAAGACAGCTTGACCTGTGAAGGGCCTGAAGACAGAGACCAACAACCTGAATGGTCCAGCAAGATTATGTGTTTGAGCCCCAGCAAAAACTCTGGACCTCATGACTCAAATGAGCTTCCCTGATTGGCTGACTTCAGTGTGTATTGCCATGCATCATTGCCAACAAAATAACAATGGCTATGACTTAATGAGGAGAGGACCACTGGAAGCTCCATGTTTGCAACTTTCCTGAATTTGGCTCTCCTTCCTCTCTCACTTGCTAATTTTAGTGTATTTTTGTTGTCGGTATATACTGTAATTATGAGTATAACAGATTTATTTCAATATTGTGAGTCCCTCTAGCGAATTATCAAAACAAAGGTTTTGAGGATCTATGAATTTGCAATTGGTGTCACAAGTGAGAGTGGTCTTGTGACACTGTTTTCTAACTTCACACTGGCACTCCCTCTTTTCATTTTGTTCAAGTTAGTTTCAACTTTTAAATAATGACGTATCTATTGACTGCTCTGCATAATCTCAAAGCTGGAAATAATTGTACGAGAGTACTAGTTCCAAATACTATCTTTCGGGAAGGGAGTGAAGTAGTAATTTCTGCTGGGAGGTGGGGAAACTGAGGCCCCAATACACTAAATATATATGGGGAGTGGCATTTGCAGAAAATTAAACAGCAAGTTAACATGTTAATTCAAGACAGTATGTAATTTCTAATTCCACAACCTATCAGTTTCTGGACATGAAAGGCATTTTAAATATGGTAGTACCTAGAGAGAATAAATTTAAAAAATAAGCTAATATAGTTTGAATATTTGTTCCCTCCAAATCTCATGTTGAAATTTGATCCCCAGTGTTGGAGGTGGGCCCAGTGGGAGGTACTTGAGGTATGGGGGCAGATCCCTCATTAATAGCTTGGTGTCATTCTGCTGGAAGTGAATGCATCTTCATTCTTACTTCCTGCAAGGTCTGGTTATTAAAAATAGACTGGCACCTTCCTCTTCTCTTCCTTCCTTTCTCTCGCCATGTGATGTCAGCTTCCCTTTGCCTTCTGCTATGAGGGGAGGCTCCCTGAGTCCTCACCAGATACAGATGACAGCTGTATGCTTCTTGTACAGCCTTCAGAACTGTGAGCCAAATAAACCTCTTTACCTAGCTTCAGGTATTCCTTTGTAGCAACACAAAATGGACTAAGACATCAGCTAAGCTCAGCGTGTTGTCTTTACATTATTGGAACAGTTATTATTAGAGGAAAGGTGGGTAAAATGTTGGAGCAGCATGTTTTAATGATAACTCCATGGTAAATTCCTACTATCTCAGCACACTAGGAGTCACTAATAAAGAAGACAGTTGGGAAATAGGCCTTATGAATATCATCAACATATTTACTTGATCAAGAATAATATTCACCACTAGCCCTACAGAATGAAGAATAGGTGCATCTTTAACCTCTCTATTGGCAAGGTGGAAACTGGTAAATTAACATTAAGGATGAATGTTTTTCCTGCAGAGAATGAGAACTGAATCAAAGAAAAACAGCAGGGTTGTAAGCTCCACAAGGGAAGGGAATGCATTTCTTTGAGCCAGTTTCTAGCACAGTGCCAGGTGCCTGGCATAGCATTCAAATAATGTTTGTTGAGTGAGTGCAAAGCCATTAATCAATGCTGCCATAAGCACCTGTTGGGAATTTTCCTGTTCTTAACCCCCACTGTCGCAGAAACATCAAAGGGTTGCCTGGTAACCATTATGTCTATATAACCCTGCCCACCTAGCTGCTGTGGATTGGTCCAAAGATGACACACATTGGGCCAATGAGCCATTCCCTTGGGGAATTGGAAGAAATAATGGATTCCAGCCTTGGTCTACCTCTCATTTGAAAGAAGGAGACGTTAACTCAGGAAAGATTGGTAGCTACTTTCTGCCACATGACCTGGGAAGTGGAGAAGGCAGGGAAGCATGAAGCAGAGGTGCCGACAGAAGCAGAGATGGAAGGTGGAAGAAACTTCCTATAAGCCTGGAGCTTTGGGTCCAGCTCATTCCTGAGGAGTGGCTCCTTCCCTGTCTTTGGGGTCAGTGAGGCACGCTGTTATCATAATAAATCCTATCTGTGCTCCAGCTAGCTCCAGCAAGTTTCTCTTATTTGCAATCAGAAAAGTCCCAACCAAAGGGTTCTAATAAAAAATAAATCAATATCTTCTGCAATCTGACCTCACTGAGGGATTGGTGATCTAAAGGCATCATGCCTTCCACAGGAACCTAGAAGTACCAATGATTCCTTCACTTGTATGCATGCTTTGCTTTTTCAACTACAGACACTGATCATTACACCAGCAACTTAAGGATGCAAGACAAATGGCTGTGAGGAGAATCAGGAGAGACAGGTTCAAGTCCTAGTTCTGCCACCAACTTCCTGGTGACTCAGACCCAGCAATAATCTCTCTAGTCTTCGTTTCCCATTCATAAAGATGGAAGTAATAATCCCCAGTCTGCCAGCTTTGCAAAGATGAAAAGTTCTTTCCAAATGTTCAGTGATGAAGAATTCTTTTAAAAATTATGATCTACTTAAAAGGGAGAAAAAGCTGGTTTGGAAAGCCTAAGGGAAGTCGGCTTCACCAAAAGGAAATATGCATGAGCCAAGCAGGTAAAGATTAAGACCAGAGCAGTCCAAGTGGATACCAAGGCAAGAGCAGACACCCTGAGAAGGAACTACCATCGTTAAACCAACTTTTTAGAAAAGGTCACTGAGGTGTGTAGTTACTCACTCAAAGCCACACATCTAGTCAGTACCAGAGGTTGAATCACACCCATGGATGTCCATCTCTGAAACGCACACTCTTAGTCAATGCCCTTAACCCCTTAAGGGAAATTGTTTTCAATGAGGCAATGAGGATGCAATTGGAAAAATGAGCTGTGAGTGGCTTTTGCTGTGTTGGTATCTGTGCAGGCTCATATTGTTTTAAAATAAACAGAAAAGTATGAAGAATTTGAACAAACTCCTTGCATGGCCCAGCCTCAGCTATTTGTTGTTGTTATACTTTAAGTTCTGGGATACATGTGCAGAACGTGCAGGTTTGTTACATAGTTATACACGTGCCATGGTGGTTTGCTGCACCCATCAACCCGTCATCTACATTAGGTATTTCTCCTAATGCTCTCCCTCCCCTAGCCACCTACCCCCTGACAGGCCCTGGTGTGTGATGTTCTCCTCCCTGTGTCCATGTGTTCTCATTGTTCATCTCCCACTTATGAGTGAGAACATGCAATGTTTGGTTTTCTCTTCCTGTGTTAGTTTGCTGAGAATGATGGTTTGCAGCTTCATCCATGTCACTTTAAAGGACATGGAATCATACTTTTTTATGGCTGCATAGTATTCCATGGTATATATGTGCCTCATTTTCTTTAGCGTGGTACTAGTACCAAAACAGATGTATAGACCAATGGAACAGAACAGAGGCCTACAACCATCTGATCTGTGACAAACCTGACAAAAACAAGCAATGGGGAAAGGATTCCCTATTTAATAAATGGTGTTGGGAAAACTGGCTAGCCATATACAGAAAACTGAAACTGGACCACTTCCTTACACCTTATACAAAAATTAATTCAAGATAGATTAAAGACTTAAATGTTAGACCTAAAACCATAAATACCCTAGAAGAAAACCTAGTCAATACCATTCAGGACATAGGCATGGACAAAGACTTCATGACTAAAACAGCAAAAACAATGGCAACAAAAACCAAAATTGATAAATGAGATCCAACTAAACTAAAGAACTTCTGCACAGCAAAATAAACTATCATCAGAGTGAACAAGCAACCTACAGATTGGGAGAAAATTTTTGCAATCTATCCATCTGACAAAAGGCTAATATCCAGAATCTACAAGGAACTTAAACAAATTTACAAGAAAAAACAAACAACCCCATCAAAAAGTGAGTGAAGGATATGAACAGACATTTCTCAAAAGAAGACATTTATGTGGCCAACAAACATATGAAACACCACACCTCAAAACCACAATGAGATACCATCTCACACCAGTTAGAATGGCGATCATTAAAAAGTCAGGAAACAATAGATGCTAGAGAGTATGTGGAGAAATAGGAATGCTTTTACACTGTTGGTGGGAGTGTAAATTAGTTCAACTATTGTGGAAGACAGTGTGGAGATTCCTCAAGGATCTAGAACCAGAAATACCATTTGACCCAGGAATCCCATTACTGGGTATATACCCAAAGGATTATAAATCATTCTACTATAAAGACTCAGCTTTCCATGAAGGCAAGGAATAGGTGAATGAAGCATTGATGTTCTCAGCACCCATGGTATTTATTTTCTGAGGCTGAATAGAGGATGCTGTTTGAGAGACAGGTTCCTATCAGTCTGTCAGAGGCATATGTAACTGCTTCATTTTGAGCCAAGAAGGACAGGCTAAGGAGATCCCTTCTTGGGGAAAGAGGAGGAAAAACAATGAGAAATGTAGAGGCAAACAGACAGAGAGCTACAAAAAAAGAGGATTGATGGTAAGATGGAAAAACAAGAGACCACGTAAGAGTGCACCAAGCCTAAGTAAAGAGAGAAGCATAACAGAGAGACAGAAACAGAAGAAATAGGATATTTAAGAGAGGTAAAGAAAGATAACCTTAAACAAACAGGGCTAGAGATTAGCAATTAGAGAGCAAACATGATTAGAGACAGAGAGAAATATGACATGTGGCAGAAAGAAATACAGAAAGAAAGGGAGGCAAAGAACATGCAGGTTTAAATAGAGACAGAAACAGAGTTCAGATAGGTAGAAACAGACAAAGAAGATCACCTTAGAGACACGTAGACAACTGCAGACTGAGGGAGAGAGAGAATGAGGCTCCAAGGTAGACAGAAAGACAGACATACAGCAGAAGGACATGAAGACAGAAGTAGGTAGATAACTTTCAGTTGTGAACTTTAGTGTGGATTCCCTGTGCTTCTGCATCCTCTGCTCCTACCAATGCAGCTTGATCTGCATACACCCCAGCTCCAATGCCTGATTACAATTACTTAAGTGTTTATTCCTCCTCTACCTGAATCTATCCACACTTCAGTACATTTCTGCCTCATTTCCACTATACCTCACTAATCACGTTTCTTTTTTGTCTGAAGAAATGTTCTTATCCAGCGTGGACTAAATTAAAATTTGGGAAACATCAGGTTTCCACAGGACTAACAAGCGAATAGCACCTGTTTAATTAAAACCTAAGCTTGATTACATGGCACTACAGGGAGGAAAACTCCAGAGGAAAAGCATGAAACTGTTAAAAATCGAGCCTGAAATGAAGATTTTACTTAAACATAAATGAACCCTGTTGTTCAGTAGAAACTGTAAGCTGGTAGGTGCCACATAGGTTCCAATGGCAAGAGTCTTGGGCTACGCTCTCTGTCCCTCACACACACTCCATCTTTGCCTCTTGGCTGTACTGGGAACTTCAAGGAAGAGACAGGCCTAACTAATTTTGTATGTTAAAGTGCAGCACAGGACATGAAACAGAGAGGGCACATCAAAACAAAACAAAACACAAAATAGCACAGCAACTGTCATCTCTCATAGACTCCATTGTCTGATGCTGTATTAAGTGCAGGTGACTTGGGGAAGGGCAAAACATGCCCCTTGTTAAATCCTAGACCTGCCACAGTGACCTAAAACTCAAGGCCTAAGATGCATCTCAGAGGAGTGCGCCTAGTTAAGACAAATTTATAAAATGTTCAACGGTTTCCTTAGAAAAAAAGGAGGAAAGAAAACAATGTTTTTAGGGAAAATTCATGGAGAACTCTCATCCCTTTCATCCTTCCAAATCAATTTTATTTTTTAAATAAGAAAATAAGCTGTAGGATTTTTGAAAAACATATTTTATATATAAATTAAATATAATTCTATAATATAAATTATATATCTATTTCTTCCACATTAGATTCACCAAAAAGAAACAGGTGATGTCAGGAGAAACAGGAGAGAATTCATGTCAGAAAGAATCTGAGAGCGTTCTTCCAATGCCTTATTAAAAAACCAAAAACTAGAAGGCCAATTATGACGAGTATTGTTTTTCTGTTTGATAAATTATTCCCCATCTTATCCTTCAAATGGAAAAGTAAAGCCATATGAACCTATTAAGCCAGCTGAATGTACAAATAAGATGCTTTGCTAAGTTATTATAATCCAAACCAATCATGATGTGATGTGATTTTCAAACATTTACGCATAATATTTCAGGACACGAACACATATTAATGGAACCACTTGCTGCAAAACTGTTTTTGTTTTCCTGTATCACGTCAAACCCACCCCATCATTTCTCTTCATAAGGCTTGGGCAGCACTGTGCAATGGGACCTTCTGCAGTGAAGGTGTTCTGTACTCTATGCTGATCAATGCAGTGCCCACTGTGACTGCTGAGCCCTGGACATGAGGCCAATGCAACCCATGAACTGAATTTTGAAATTATTTAAAGTTAAATAGCCACATGCAGCTAGTGGCCATTGTCCTGAACATTCCATTCTTAGATGAGTAGATTTATTTCTCAAGAATACATAAAACAACACTGAAAATGACCAGTCCCTAACATCGACCTCTTTACAAAAACACACCAAAATGTTGTGTCACTTACTAAAAGCAAAAAAAAAATCCTTTTCTTAGTCCTTCAACGAATTTCCCCCCGATAAGAGGAAACCATATGTTTTTCTTTGTTTGTTTATTTGCTTTGGTTTTCTTAAATGCAAAATGATAGATTTTCCAATGTAGGCAACTCTTTTTCTGCAAATGGGAACCATAGTATTCAGTTAGCTACAAACTCTCAGCAATCCTAAAGATTTCACTATTGCTTTCAAAGAATCCACTTTGAAACAGAATGCTTATCTACTTTCATACGAAAATTTAGCAGTTTCCAAGAAATAACTATTTCTTCTTAAATATGGGCAATTGTGTGCCCTTCTTTAAACAATGCCACCCTCTGGGATCCAGGGGTCTACAGGAATTGACAGCTTGAGATATCTTTATGTTATAACAACACTGTTCATTTCTATGCTCAAGTGATCACTTCCTAAAAGCTTATGATGTTGTGATGGATGGCAGTTGTGGGGGCCTCATCTAGAGAAGGAAAATGAGAAGCATTATAGTTAAGTGGGAACAAGGTGCCCAAAGCAGTTTGGTGATTTCTGTGAAGTGTGTAGCTCATGGATATGACTGCTTACAAATTCCACTTGAAAGAGAGATCCCAGGAGAACAATTTTAGTTATTTGATTTCAGCTGATCCTGTTACTGGACAAGGAAAAAGAATGCATGCCCTTTCTTAATACTTCAAATTCAGGACTTGCATTCACT
Source organism: Homo sapiens (assembly GCF_000001405.40). Lineage (NCBI taxonomy): Eukaryota > Metazoa > Chordata > Mammalia > Primates > Hominidae > Homo > Homo sapiens. The sequence goes on along the minus strand of NW_003315940.1, from coordinate 53,509 downwards.
ATTGGGAAGCAGGTGAATCATGACTGAAGCAAAGAGGCAGAGGTACCAACCCAGTGACTAGGACTGTGTGATCACAAGGGAGTACTGACATCCAGAATTTAACTAATCTCTGTTTGTATGTCATGGTGAAAATTGGAAATAACTCCCAATACTAGTGTTAAAAATGTTGAATCTTGGTGCATCTTAAAACACTGTAAAAACAGGCAGAGCAACTTAACTCAGGAAGCAAGGTCCTGATTATGGAACTGTGGTTACATAGCACTTCATCCCAAACCTGCTATGTTCATTGTCCTGCAATCCTGAGAAAATTACTCTCCCCCAGCCACTTTTATTTATATTTCTCTTATCTGAGCTGACATCATCCCCAGTTCCAGAGGTACTGCCTGGACCAAGGCCTGCAGGCAGTCAGCATCTCACATTCCTCTGTCCCTTGAAATGGGTTCAAGAATTGGCACACACCCAACGCTCATTCTATCAGAGTGGGTGTTTTCACTTGTAAGCAAAACCATCCTACTTAACGCACAGGTTCTTTCCAGACACTGTGTCTCTTTCAGACAACACTTTCTTGCATAGCTCCTGCTCTGTTCATCTTGTGGAGGACACAGGTGTCCTAGAAGCGAGTTGTCTTTTCCAAGATGACAACTGAAAACTATGGCAGAAATAGAATTCAAACCAAAGTTTAGAGGCTCCAAATTACATTGAGTGGTTCATTTCAGTAATGACCATAGTAATATTAGCAGTATGTGTGACTTTGTTAATAGTAGAAATTATATTTTCATATCATATTACAGTCATGGCTGATGTTTTAAAACGTCACTTATATTCACCACTACTTTAAAATTATGCTAGCTATTTGACCCATCACTAGATCTTTGTATTAGTCTGTTCCCACGCTGCTAATGAAGACGTACCCGGGACTGGGTAATTTATAAAGGAAAGAGGTTTAATTGACTCACAGTTTCACATGGCTGGGAAGGCCTCACAATCATGGCGGAAGAGAAAGGGGTATCCTACATGCAAGACAGGCAGGCAAGAGAGAGCTTGTGCAGGAAAACTCCCCTTTATGAAACCATCAGACCTCGTGAGACTTATTCACTATCAAGAGAGCAGCATGGGAAAGACCCGTCCCTATGATTCAGTTACCTCCCACCGGGTCCCTCTCATGACATGTGGGAATTATGGGAGCTACAAGATGAGATTTGGGTGGGGACACAGCCAAACCATATCAATCTGGTTACTAACAAGGAAATTGATATGTTATTACTGTTTCACAGATTGTGATACATACATTGCAGTATAATTTATCTCCTTTGTGATGCTATGTATTTTACTTTATGCATGTAAAGTACTTTATACTTTATTTCACTATAAATAATAATGTGAGAAGGTTCTACAGGCTTCTTCAGACTGCCAAAATGATCCACAGAATGAAGAAAGGTTCAGACACTGCAGCACTATACTAGAAGCTCTAGAACAGGGACTAAGTTTGTTTGATTTACTGCTTTCTCCCCTGGGTCTGGAACAATGCTTGGCACATCATAAACATGTAAAACTGTTTGTTCCAACAATTTATGTAATGAATTTTGTAAATGAAGAAACTAAAGCTCAAAGTATTTGGATAACTTTGCAAAGATTCTGGAGCTGGAAAGTGGAAGAAGCAGGATGTGAACACACATCTGCCTGGCCCCCATCACACCCCAAATGCTGCCTGTCACCATTTGAACATGGAGGGTTCCCCATTTCATCAAATAAAACTTTCACAGAGCCACACTCTGTACAACTGATGAAGACAGAGCAGCTGCTCTGTGTGAAGGAGCGTGGAGTGTCTGTATTGTGCTTTTCATTGTCATGATTTTTGTCTAAGTTAGTCTTCAGTTCTCTCTATTGACAGGGGTCACAAGCTGAGATAGCCATCTTTTAGGAGGGCCCTGACAGGAGGAGAGTTAGAGTCAAATGTGTCAGTCAGAGACACAATGAAAAGATGAAGCCAAAATGCATGGAAGAGAATGAATTTATTACTTACAGACCCCAGAGAGGTTATGGGTGCCGATGGGAGGCTGAGGGGAGGTCTGGAGGCAAAGGAGACGTCAACCAGCAGGAGGGGAGAGAGAGAGGACCTGTGGGACTTCACCTTTATTAAGGTTCGTGAACATTCTCCTTTAGGCTTTCCCATGGGGGTTATGGGTTGGATATCTAAAGAAAACATGCTGGAAGTAGGGAACTTATTTACATCACTCTGGTGTTGACAAGTAAATTTTATCATGGTCAGCAGCTGTGGCATTTGTGGATTTGGGGTCAGTGAGATGAGGACAAGCTGGCTGTATCGCAAATTGCACACGGGGAGGGGGAGGTTTAATGAGGCCAAAGATGACAAGTTATGACTGGGTTTTAAACAACTGATGACAGACCTGTAGGTGAATGCCTAGGCAGCAACTCTGTTAAACAAATTTATGGCAGTCTGAAAACTGCAGTTTGGACACACCTGGGCCTCAGACCTCACCTACTTTAACCCCCTCCTATTGCAGCTGTGAGCAACATAACTAGAGATGTCAATGGGGTCTTGCCAGATCACAATCTTGGCTGAACTAGGTCTTTAACTCCTGCCTCCCTTCTGAGCTCTTCCCCGTGCATTGTGATGCTGGCAGCATCCTCAGATCATATGGACAGGCTGGCCAGGATCACCATGCAAAGTGAGGACTGAGTTCCAGCAGACTGACCAAGCATGACAATCACAGTTGTGTTTTTGAGAGGTGCCCCGTGCTGGGCACTGTGCAACACTTACTACACATACCAACTTATTGAATGCTGACGATGACCCTGTGAGATGGTGAATCGGACAGGATAGATGAGATTCGCTGCTGTAACAAAAAATCCCTAGCATATCATAAGTTTTTTTGACTTAAAATAACAAAGGTTTATTTCTTGCTGATACATGTGTCCATCATTAGCTTAAGCCTATTACATCCATGGTCCATATACCAAGAACCAGGCTGATGGAGCAGCCTCTATATGAGAAAGCAAATGTTCACGTGGAAATAACACTCTGAAGTTTCTTGTCATGGGGACAACATTTTCCAGCCCAGAAGTGATACAGTTGACATCTGGTCACACTTACATTGTCAGTTACATTGATTCTACCCAACAGGTAGAAATATTTGTAAGCAGCACTAATGACTATCACAAGTAGGTTCTATTATTAGCCTTATTTTAGGATGGAGAAGGCGACCCTCAGAAAGGTAAGGTGACTTGCCCAGAGTCACATAGCTGGGAACATAGGAGCCAGGCTTGGGATCAGGGCAGCCTGACTCCAGAGACTGGGCCCTTAGCACCCGTGCCATTCAGCCTCTTCCTAACTTGTGGGCTCTCCACTCAGTATCAGGAGAGTCACAGGTACTGCCAATATTACTATAGTCATTACTGAAATGAACCATTTGATGTAATCTGGAGATTTTCCGAGGAGATGTGCATGGTGGTTCAAGTCAGGAAAGCTTCCAACCCAAGTTTCACCTTTACAAAGCCCATCACCATTAGTTTGTGTATTTTATCTCTGAGTCATGTTGTGTACATACAGCTACAGAGATATCATGTCAGAATTGAACAAGAATGTGGTGGCCACACAGTGATGCACTTCAGTTTCATCAGCAGATGCAAGTTGCATGTTTGCTGAAGTAACAACCTAAACTAGTTAACAGCCAAAAGGGAGTCAGGCACAAACAAGTGGTATAGGCATAGCTGTTTAGAAGAGTGAAATATTAGCCTGACGCTTTTTGGAAAATTGTTTATTTTAATAAAACCCACAATCATTTTTAACAAGAACAGTTGTTTCATATGTACATTGAAAGTGTCAATTCATTAAATATAAATATTTAAATGATACTACAGTTTTGGTAACTCTCTTGTTAGTTTCATATTTTTAAAATATTTCTGAAGATCTAAAAAAAATGGAAATGGGTCAAAGCTTTCAACTGCACTACAAGGCACTGGTCCACAGGGAGGGGCTACAGCTCCTGAGAAAAGCCCCTTGCATCTACCCAGAGACTCCACCAAAATCTAGGCAGCTCCATGCTGCAGAGTGCTCCCCCACCTGGATTTCGTGCAGCCTCAGAGGTGGACACTTCAAGCCACCCGCAGGTGATTTAGCAAAGCCAATTTCATTACGATGGGTCAGAAATAGAAACTCATTATTTCAAGGGGGCATGAAGTAGCCTCTAGAGAAGCTGTCTTAGGGAAGATTGGGTTTTTCTTCTGAAAGCTATCCCTTTATCTTTTAATATAGAAAAATGGAACCAGGACTCCAAATGCTTTCCTAGAACAATTTGTAAGATGACAAAGACGGATGCAAGATGCCATTCCCAGAAATCATGCTGGTTGAGGACTCAGATGTTCTGTCTGCTCCTAAGAGGACATGTGGTCTTAGAAAAGTATTTTCTCCTCTGTGGGAGTTTTTTTCACATTAAATTATGAGGGGACAGCAATTGCCATTCTGGATTACCCTCACAGGTATTCAGGTAAAAACCTGGGAGTAACCCAGATCCCAGCTTGGAGGAGAGGAGGGGCACTCATCAGACAGGCTCCCGCTGGGTCTCCCCTGCAGTCTTCCCCAGATACAGAGAGCCCCCTCACTTGAGATCACACCCCTCCCAGGGCAGTGGACCTGGTGCCTGAGTGAGATGGGGTGCAAAGGCCCATTTTTTGCCTGATGCTGGCCACTGAGATCAGCAATGCCTGCCCCAGAATTCACTTCTGGGCTGGCTGACGTAGATTCTGCAACCAAGTTTGACTCCAAATTCTCTCTTTCCCAGGTCTTTGTCCCTTACATTTTGCACCTCAAATTCTGTCTGAGCATCTACTACGGAGAGTTCAACTTGCAGCTGACCCAATAAAAATGAGAATGAGTGGGTTCGAACCCCAGCTTCCTTGCCATTAGAGAGGCAATGCAGAGCCAAGCTCTGTCCACTCTCAGAGTGCATCCTGTGGGATGGAGCCTGCATTGAAAACCTGCTCATCAAGACAAAAGGAGAGCCTCTGACATCTGCCCATCCCTGTCTCACCACCCTCCACCTCCCACTCTCTGCATCCTCATCATGCTTCCTGGAGTCACTTTCCTCAAGCTATGGCTGCACCTAAATCTTTGCTTCAAAATCTGCTTTTGGGGGTAACCCAAGCAAAGACAGCCTCACATATCCCATGGGCACCTGTAAAACACAATACCAGCATTTCCCACTGAGTCACACTGCTTCGTAACCTAAAAGCCTCCTTCACGGATAGTCTCCCATAAAGCCCCAAAGTATATCTCCTGTGGTGGGTGACGTCCATTTTGAAATGTAACAAAACAAAGGAAAAGGAAATCACACCTCTCATTGAGTGTCCCCAGAGACCTTTTGTTATAGTTTTTCTTTGTCAATCTATGGCCTGTGAGACTGGTCTATAGAAGGTCTCATTCTCCAATTAAAGAATTAATGAGTACATATGTATGAAGCATTTTTAGAAAGACTACCCTACATTAATCTCAATTTGCTGGATGAAAGAATGAAAACATGGACACAGAGTCTGGAGGTATCTCAAAATATTTCTCTCCTATCCAAGTGCTTGGAGTGGCAGAGACGCAGCTCAGTGCTGCTCAACAGCCTTGTTGTCCATGAGCCCGAAGCTCTGGTTGCAAGCCCTACTGAGTTCACTCCTGAAACCGAACCTCTCCCAGCATAGGGCACACCTGAGAAGGTCCAGGAGAAGGCCTTTGGGTAGGTGACAACTGAGTGAGACCAGAATGAGAAGACAAGTTGACCATGAAAATCTCTTGGGAATGAGGATCTCAGAGGAACAGCTGGTTTCAATGGCCTCAGGCAGAAGTGAGCCTGGGGTGCTCACCACAAAAGAATGCCAGGGTCTTCTGTCACTTAGTGAGGGACAAGGAGAGTGTTTGAACACAACACTGAAGTGGGAGGCAGGGGCCTGATCCTGATAGGCCATGCAGACTGCAGGGAGGAACTTGGATTTTATTCTGAATGTAATGGGACACAAGACCACGTTTTAATAGGAGCAGAGCAAAGGAACTGTGGCTCTGGGACCACCAAACCTTCCCATCTTTATGGATTATCACATGAATTTTGCATATTGAAAGCTCTAACTATCAGTATGAAATCTGTTTTCGTTCATGCAATAAACAGAATAATGGTCCTCTCACTTCCAAAAGATGTTCGCATCCTAATTCCCAGAACCTGTGAATATGCTCCCTTATATGGTAATAAGGGCTTGAAAGACATGATTCATTTAAGGACCTCAAGATGGGAAGATTGCCCGAGATTATTTGAACGTGCCCACTGTAACCATGGGGGTTTCATAAGAGAGACAGAGTGACATAAGGTAAGACTCGATCAGCCATGGCTTACTTTGGAGATGTCAGGGAGAAACCAGCTAGGGAATGTGAGCACCTTCTAGAAGCTGAAGGAAGGAACGAATTGTGCCCTTGAGGCTTCAGAAGGAACAGAGCCCAGCCAACACCTTGATTTCAGCCCTATAAAGCCCATTTTAGACTTCTGACCTCCAGAAATGTAAGAGAATAGTTTTTGTTGTTTAAAGTCACCAAGTTTTAGTCATTTGTTACAGCAGCAATGAGAAACTAATATAGTTCATCACTTTAGTTGTCTCCTGACTTTACTAGACCCAAAACATTTGTTTAAGGGGCTGTTTATATCCTGTAATACGTGGGAAGAAGCACACTTGAGGAAATTCCCTCTCCTCAGTAATGAACACCTTGAATAGTGACATTGAAGAACCTGTATAGAATTGGGAGACCCAGGGTGATGTACCACCAAAATGTATGGGTTCTTAATGGATTAAGGCCCTATAACCTTCTGAAACTCAAATTTATTTTTCAGTAAAATTGAGATTCATTATTCATTCAGCAGATATGTACAGATCACCTATTCCATGTCAGACACTGGTCTAAGTCCTGGGTATAGCAGAGAAAAATACTAGAGGGAAAAATACCTTGTAACCCAGGAAGCTTACATTCAACTTGGAAAAAGACACCACACACAAATATATATTGACAACACATAGGTATGATAAAGAAACATAAAGCTAGAGAAGAGACAGTAATTGATGGGGTTAATGTTTCACACAGGGTGTTTGGGGACATAAGCTCTGATAAAAATGATATTTATGCAGAGATTTGCTTGATGTAACTGGGGAGCCAAATCACTATCTGGAAAAGAGAGAGTCAGCCACAGGAATAGCATGTGCAAAAGTCCTGGGGCGGGACTATGTATGGAAGGTCTGAGAGATAGTAAGGAAGCCAGAGTGGCTGCAGTGCGGTGAGCGAAGAAGACAGAGAGTGGTGGGAGGTGGGGTCAGAGAGCAGGCCAGGACCCCAGGCTGGTGGTCCTAGTAGGCCATAGGAGGAATTTGGGGTGCTTGCTCTGAGAAAGATAAGAAGGCACTGGCGGGACCTGGGTAGAGGTGGGACATTATCTTACCAGCAAAGAAGTGATTACAATAACCAGGCAAGAATGATAGCAGACACAAGAGTGACAGTAGCAGAAGTGTCGAGGAAGTTTGGAAAAGTGAGACACTTTGAAATTAGAGCTGGCAGTTTTCTGATGGGTTGAATGTAGGAGTGAAAGAAGGAGAAGAGACAATCCACATTTGCCACTTGAGTCTGAATACATGGAAAGATGGTGCATGAGTTTCCTAGGGCTGCTACAACAAAGTGCCACAAACTGGAGGCCAGAAGTCCAAAATGAAGATGTCAGCAAGGTGGGTCCTACTGGAGGCTCTCAGGTAGAATTTGTTCCCTCTCTCCCAGCTCCTGGTGTTGCCAGCAACCCATGGCGTTCCTTGCCTTGTTGATGATTTGCTCCAACCTCTGCTTCTGTCTTCATGTGGCCTTCTCGCTTGTGTCTCTGTGTGTCTTAAATATCTCACTGCCTTTCTCTTATCCAGACACCTGTTACTGGATTTAGGATCCAATCGAGATCCAGGATGATCTTATCTCGAGATTCTTAACTTAATTGCATTTGTAAAGTTCCTTTTCCCAAGTAAAGTGAAGCTCACAGCTTGGATATATCTTTTGGGGCAACCAATCAACCCATGACAGATGAAAGCAGCCTTTTCTGGTTTTGAGAAGACAAGAATTGCAGGGGAATAGAGATCAACAAATCAATTTGGGACACTGCAAGTTGAAGAGACCTATTAGCCACTTGAATGGAGATTTTGGGGAGATAGTTGTCCATATGAAAGTAGAATTTCAGGGCAATCATGGCTGAAGATATTAATCTGGGATAAATAAATGACATTTAAACACATGCTACTGAATCAGGTCACTTGGTGTAAAACTAATGATGCATAGAGAAAATATGTTTTATAAAATTTGATTTCTGGGATACGTCAATGTTTGGAGCTCTGGAAGAGAAAAAAAGACTAGCAAGTCTACCAAAGAACATTAAGGCAGTGAGGTTAAAGAAAAAGGACTGAGAGAATTGTGTACCAGATGGGAAGTGAACAAAATGTTTGAAGAAAAATCAAGTAATCAGCTCCACCAAATATTGTTGAGCATTCAAGTATAAAGATCATTGTTTCTTCTCTACTCACCTTACAGAGAATCAAATAAGAATATGCATAACAAAGCATTTGGTAAATCACAAACCATTATAATAATGCAAAGTGACATTATGAGCCCAGGCTCCTACCCTGTTTTACCTGAGATCAAAACACTCCTGTTAAACTCTACCCTTGTGATATGGTTTGGCCATGTCCTCAAAAAATCTTGTCTTGAACTGTAGTTCCCATAATCCCCACGTGTCATAGGAGGTAATTGAATTATGGGGGCAGTTACCTCCATCCTGTTCTCGTGATAGTGAGTGAGTTCTCACGAGATCTGATGCTTTTATGAGGAGCTCTTCTCCACCTTCGCTCTGCACTTCTTGCTGCTGCCATGTAAAGAAGGACATGTTTGCTTCCCCTTCCATCGTGGCTGTAAATTTCGAGGCCTCCCCAACCATGCTGAATGGTGAGTCAATGAAACCTGTTTCCTGTACAAATTACCAAGTCTCAGGTATGTCCTTATAGCAGTGTGAGAATGAACTAATATGCCTTGTGATAAAATATTACAGGCCAGCACAGAAACAAAACTCTCTGGGAAGAATTTAGACAAATGAGAGAATTAGAACTCTGAGGCAAATATAACCAGTTGCCATTTCAGATGCAGAATGATGGAATTAACGTCACCCAGAGTCAGGCATTGCCTATAGAGATGTCTGCATATTCAGGGCAATGTGGAGAGAAAGGCATTCTTCAAAGGACATACACGGTGTCATTAGCATCAGGCCAGAATCTCCTGGCTCCATCTGCACTAAGGCCAGATGAGCTCCACATGCGCAGACCCTGATGGCTTCTGTGATATAGACAGCAGGCTTTAAAAAGATCCTTTGCACAGATGTTTTCAAAATTGGGCCATGCTTAGTTCTGTGAATATTGAGAGGCAGGGAGACTACAATAGCATCATCATTATTAAAAGTTGCACCAGTAAAAATTTCCAATTAGTCCTCACTCCAGGGCTTTTGAGTATAAGGCTATACTAAAACTAAAGCTTTCAATTCCATAGGTGTAATTCCTGCTACATGACTAATGGGTCTCATTTATACAGACAGCCCAGAAACAGGGGTAGCTATGACCCTACAGAAAGAACAAAGGACCCGGTTCCTGGAGACCTTTGCCTCAATCCCAACCAACCACTCAGCAGAGGCATCAGGCATACTTGTCAATTTCTTTCTGTGTCACTTTGGGCAAGATACCTGGTATCTGGCAGCCTCAGTTTTCTCATCTCTAGAATGGAAGGCACAACATCCATGTCGTAGGGGACTGGACGATGAAAAGAGAAAAATCTACATAAAATAATAAATCATGTGTGTGATAATGTTGTTGTTATTGCACATTTTCAGTTTAATCTCAAAGCTGATTTCTGTCCTACCCTTTATGAGCTGCATGAATTGTCATCAGTAAAATACAGGCAGAATTGCGTGGGTGTCATACTTCAGGGAGGTAATATAGGAATTGAACAAGCTAAAGTGTTTACTGGTGATTACTAGAATATAAAGCAATGCAAAACAGTAGTAAAATTGTGTATAACACCCTTATTTCGTGACATGTACTGTCCTCAATAATTTTACATAAATCATATCATTTTATCTTACAAATGACATAAAGAGTTAAGAACTGTTAATAAATTCATGATACAAATGAGGAAATGAAAATGCGATGATAAGAAACAACCTAAAGCTAGTGTGTCCTCTCCGTGGGCCCTTGGAACTTTTTGCTCTCCCATCCTGTCATATGGCTTCCACCATCAGAGACACCTTGAGGTCCAAGATGAATGCCAGAGCTCCAGTCATCTCCTCTCAGTTAAAAGCAGCAAACAGAAGACAGAAGAATAAAAAGAGCCCTTGTTTCCAAGCTGAGGCAGCTCCCTTCAAGTGGTCTTTACAGAAGCTCAACACACTACGTCCACTAATATCTCACGGTCCACAGCTTAATCACCTGGGGAACTAAGCTGCAAAGGAAGATGAGAAATGTGGACTTTTAGCTCACCATTGATCCTAATGAAATTCTGTTATTAAAGAGGAAAGAGAAATCAAATATTGCCTAGGTAACTGGCAGTCTGCTACATCATTTAAAATGAATTTAGTGCTCTGATAAAATTTTTTAAAGTTAACATGCTCTTTGTTAGACAACAAAACATAATAGAAAAGAATAAAGGAAACAAGAAACGAGAAAGCCAGAAAAGGCAAAAATGAAGAAAGGAATCAGACAGTTAGCCGGGTTGTTCCTCCATAGATCACATCTGCTTAGAAATCCAGGAATTGCAACTAAATCTGAATGGGAAACTGAGACACAATTTTTTTGTTCTTCCTTCTGATAGGTACTTCCATAAACCCTCCCACCCGTGCACCTGAAAATTAAGCGGTGAGCAGAGTGGCATTCCAAATGCACACAGGGATTTATTCGTTCGCTGTTTAAACATGTCTTAAACATCAGATCTCAGCTTCTTTGTCCAGTAAACTTCTACTTGTTCTTCAAGACCCAACACAATTGCTCCTATTGTAGGAGCCCTTCATGATTCCTCTTACAGAGTTACTAGCCATTCCTCTGTGCTCCCTTGGAGCTTGGTACCATCTTACAGAACAGCATTTCTAACCCTGGATTGGAACCATCATTTTTTACCTGCCTAATCCCCAAACTAAACGAGATTGTCAGGAGAAGGATCATGTCTTATTTTCGCTTATTTCCTCAAATGCCCACTGCAGGGCCTGCTATGTAGGAGGCAAATTACACAAGATCACAAAGACCCCGCTATCCCCTCACAATGGTTACAGCGTTATCAAGAAGCAAGGGCCTCTAGAGGTGGGTCCTTAGTCAATGGCTTCACCACTTCCCCTTGAAGAGCAGCAATTTTAGGAGACCAAGGCCACAATTCACCCTTTTCCCCAGCAGCCCAGCTAGTCATAAACCATACCAAATGTAAGACTTTCGAGAGCCAAGAAAGGCACAAGATGCACACAAAGTGTGGTTACATTCCAACAAACAGAATACCCACCATATGCTAAGCACTCTTCCAGATTCTTTGAATAGAAAATTATAAAGCCATACAAGATCTGTGTCCCTATGGAGGATACACTAATGGAGAAAGAGAGAAACAATAATAATAATATGTAAATTATAATAATATGCAAATAAATATGTATACAATCATTTTGAAGATGGCTGAGTATAATAAAGGACAGAAAAGAGTTTAATATCATAGAGAATGACTAGGAAACAGCAGGTCTACCAAAGAAAGGGAATCCTGTGTTTCCTTGCCATGATGGGCAAGCTGGAGCCAGTCCTCTGGGGGCAGACTGTTGCTGGCAGAAGCAAGGGCATGTGCAAAGGTCCTGAGGTGAGAGCAGAATTAAGCTGTTCCTGGAAAGAAGGAGGATGGAGTGTGGAGAGGGAGAGGAAGATCAGTGAGAGATGCGGGAACAGAGCAGACAGAGCCAAATCAAGAAGATATCTTTAGTTGACAATGAGAAATTTACATTCACTACTAACTGTGATTGGCAGTCAAAGGAGAATTTTAAGCAAAAGACTCATATCATCTGTTTTATGACTTAAAAAGATGACTGTGGTCACTGTGTGGAGACTGAATCAGCTAGAGGCCAGAAGGGGGAAAGAGGCTGGGCAAGAGGTTGAGGAAGTTTACCCAGGGAGAGGTCCACGTGACTTGGGCTGGGATGGAGGCAGCAGAGACGGATAAAAATAGGTGACGTCTACATGTATTGTGCAGGTTAGAGTCCCCAGGGCTTGCAGACTGACTAGATATGGTGGTAGAGTAGAAGAAAGTCATCAGCATTTGTCTTAGATCTGTGGTCAGGGCAATTTTGTGGATGGTGGCACCATTTGCCGAGATGGAGATAAATGAAGGAGTAGTGCTGTCAGCCAAGAGAGGGGACACTCCTTAGAACTCCCTTCAATGTTGGAATTAAGCCCTTTGCAATTAAGTCACCAGTAAAGGGATGCAGCCCAGTCCAAAACAAATTCTTCTGCTCAGTTCATCAAAGTGAATTGGCTGGAATTTCACCGTATCAGACTTTTGTTTGCACATCACAAATGGTGCCTTTTGAACCACAGCTCGTATTGGAATTACTATGTCATTAGCCGTGGACTGTGAGCAGAAGACTGAATCAATTGGCAGTGAAATGAGGATGAGCTGCTGTTGAAAACACAAATGACTTCCATGGAAATGACTCACTAATTGTTAATCAATTGCAATCGATTTTCTGGTCTACCACTAGGGATGGACTGTGTGTCCTGCCTGAGATAAGGCCAACCTTTGGCCATTTCACTACAACCAGCAAGGACTTCTAAGCAGAATTCATGCCATGCCCCCCGACCTGCCACCACCACTCCAAGATAAACATTTTCCAGTAAAGAGCTGAAACTTCAGCCAGGCACGGTGGCTCATGCCTGTAATCCCAGCACTTTGAGAGGCTGAGGCTGGCAGATCATGAGGTCAAGCGATCAATACCATCCTGGCCAACATGGTGAAATCCCATATCTACTAAAAATACAAAAATTAGCTGGACATTGTGGTGTGCGCCTGTAGTCTCAGCTACTCGGGAGGCTGAGGCAGGAGAATCACTTGAGCCCAGGAGGCGGAGCTTGCAGTGAGCCAAGATCGTGCCACTGCACTCCAGCCTGGCAACAGAGTGAGACTCTGTCTCAAAAAAAAAAAAAAAAAAAAGAAAAAGAAAAAAAAAAGAGCTGAAACTCTGGAGCCATTGGCTTTCAGGTCAGTTCAACCTCCGTTTAGGTGGTGATTATAAAAATATTCTCCTTGAACTTTGGGAGGCTGAGGCGGACAGATCACGAGGTCAGGAGATCGAGACCATCCTGGCTAACATGGTGAAACCCCGTCTCTACTAAAAATACAAAAAAATTAGCCGGTCAAGGTGGCAGGCACCTGTAGTCCCAGCTACTCGGGAGACTGAGGCAGGAGAATGGTGTGAACCCGGGAGGCAGAGCTTGCAGTGAGCCGAGATCGCGCCAATGCACTCCAGCCTGGGCAACAGAGCGAGACTCCGTCTCAAAAAAAAAAAAAAAAAAATTCTCCTCGAACCAGGGAGAGAGCAAGAAATTTAAAGGACCAGGGAAATGTGATCCTCCACAACTGAGCATCCCTGGAAGAATGAGCTTGTTGAAATAAGCTCCAACATTGCTGCCAAAACCAAATACAATCTGTGTTATATGTTTTTTATTTGTACGAATGTATGGGGCATGTGAGAAATTTTCTAACGTGTATATAATATATAGTGATCAAGTTAGGTTGAAGTATTTGGGTTGTCCTCACCCAAGCATGATACACTTTGTTAAGCATAGTCACCCTAGTGTGCTATCAAACATTGAATTTATTCCTTCCATCTTACTATATATTTGTAGTCTTTAACCCACTTCTCTTCATCTTTCTTCCTCCCCTCCCACTCACCCTTTCCAGGCTCTGTTATCCATCTTTCCACTCTCTACCTCCATGTTTTCCCATTTTTTAGTTTCCACATGTAAGTGGGAACATGTGATATTTGTCTTTATATACCTGGCCTATTTCACTTAAGATAGTGACCTCAAGTTCTATCCATGTTGCCACAAATGACATAGTTGCATTCTTTTTTATGTCTGAATAGTGTTCCATTTTGTATATACACCACGTTTTCTTTATCCATTGATCCATTGATGAACGCTTGGGTTGGTTCCATATCTTTGCTATTGTGAATAGTTCTGCTATAAATATGGGAATGGAGGTATCACTTTGATAAATTGATTTACTGTCCTTTGGGTGGATACCCAGTAGTGAAATTGCTGGATCAAATGGTAATTCTATTTTTAGTTTTTTGAGAAATCTGTGATATTATAGCAGTGGGAGAACAACTGACTCAGAGGAAAAACTCTAATGCCAATGAGAGCCAGGCAGGTTAATGAGTGAATCAGGTCTGGTTGGGGAGAAGCTGCCATAGAGGAATTGTGGAAGGGACACCAGGAGCTGAATGTCAGGCTTCATTTCCAACTCAGTCGATAATAACTGTGTGACCTTAGGCAAGTCACTTAACCTCTCTGTGCCTCATCTGTAAAATGGGGATTCTCTTTGTCTCTGCCCATGAGATGTTGTCCACAGTAAATGTTCAGTAAGTGTCAAAGTTGGCATCATTGTCATTGTAACTAGAGAGTCCATGCCGAGTTTCAGGCAAGCAGCATCTTCTCAGCTACAGCTAATTGTAGCAAGGGGGACAAGGGGCCCAGAGTAGCCAGGTCTTCAACTATGTCACATCAGAAGCTTCCATGTTAAGTAAAATTTCTAAATTTTAATCTTGAAAATAAATTTAGAAATTGTGAATATGTTGGGTGGGCCAAACAAAACACATGGAGGATACATCTTCCCGAGAATCTAAAACTGCGCACATCACATGGGTGAGGCAGGTTGTGTAGTCTCAGTGCCCAACTTAAAGGCAACAATGCTGTTCCTTCTTTCACTGATGGTGTTTCCTGAACACCAGGTGCTCTGCTGTACCATTCTGAGACAGGCAGTGCTGTACCCATCAGCAGATGGGAATATTGAGGCTAGGGGAGATCCAGAGACCTGCCCAGTGCTCACAGTCTGTTAGTGGCAAGGCTGGGACTTGAAACTAGGTTGTCCTGATTCCAGATGCAATTTACTTAGCTGTGGTGCTACATGCTTCTCCTTCCACTTTCAAGTATATCTGCTTTTCCACTTCTCCTGCTCAGAGGCAGACCATGGCCAAAGTGGCAACTGGACCAGATGTTTCCATCCAGTTCTAAGCAGCCCCAGGCAGGAGCATCTGCTGCCTAACCTGCCTCATCTGCCGCCTAACCTGCCTCATCTGCCTTCAGCACAAGAAAACAGCCAGTGACAAAATGACTGAGCTTGCGGCAGCTACTGCTGGCGTTGTGCCTGATAAGTATTAGGTGGAAGCCATTGTTTCCCCTACAGACATTTCTGTTTGGGTTTATATACATTCATGTGCTTCATACAGAAACCAAATTTAATTAAACACAGGGAGCTGACTCAAGCATACTAAAAAAAAAACCGTGATGGATCATTTCCCGTCCTCACCTGCCTTCCTGTTAGAACTTCCCAGGAAGGTACTGGCCAGGACAAATCTTGCTCATCCTGTTCAATGACACTGTTAGGTTCTGAGGATGCAAGGGCATGGTCCCTTTCTCTCTGTCCTTCATCCTTTCTTCCTTAATTGAACTGAAAATAAAACCTAGAGAAAGAGATTCCAACAAGAATCTACAACCATGAACATCATAAAACTCAATGTCATAGACTGGCCAAGGCTTTTTACCAATGAAGATGCCAATTCCCTGGCCAATGTCAAGAGCAAGACATTCACCCAGGAGGTCTGAAAGCCACTGGCCCAACATGGCACCCAGGATCCTCAGAGAAATGAGATGAGGACTGGAAATAGAGCAGATTCTGGGGCCAGAGAGCCAGGTTCAAATTATGTTTCTGCCACTATAGTCTCAGGGAAGTCATATGTATTTGGATTCTTTTTGGTTTGGTTTCAAAAGATGTATCCTACCTAGTTCAATGAATCTGGAGATTTGTTTTCAGTTTCGTTTTTTTTCTTTTGATAACACAGGCACATGATAAAGAAATGTAGAAAGTACTTGCAGATATCCAGGTAAAGGTAAGTTCACATATGACGAAAGGAATAACAGTAAAGTGAATATCTGTGTTCTCTCAACATGGATGAAGAAATGGAATATACATGTGAAGTGTTTAGTTTTAAAAATCTCATTGTCATCATTGATCTTATTATTCTGGTTTCCCTATTTGTCTGCAGATAGACAAATGCATAGATGCTGTGAAACGCATATATGAGTGCAGCCCTTGTTCACTAATGTCATAGGATACACAGCATTCTGTATATGCATTTCGCACTTACCAGTGATTAAGCTGCTATCTGATGTTTGATTTCAGGGTCTGTGTTCATGACTTCTATGCTAGAACAATGGTCTGAGCTTAGCTGGAGTAGCTGAAAGAAATGTTATTCTAGTGTTAGCTAGATGGGAGCTGACATGGCCACTGACATCAACACTGGGGCACCGGTGACCACTTTCCTGGAGAACAGGGTGCATGTTGGAGTTTAGTAGACATGTCTCGGCACTCTGAAGGGAGAAGATCCTTCAGGGCACTCAGCCCTACAGGGAAAGTATTATACAATGCAGAAAGCCACAAATGCAAATTGGAAGTCCACAGACTGATTTTGGTCAGTACATACCCAAAATGATCCAAAAGGTTACTCTCTCCCTCTTATCAAAGCATTGAGTCAATTGTCCTCAACAAGTTCTGGTTAAAGCCAGGAATGAATGCTTACTGAAACCACCAATTGCAAATGAACCAAGGACCACAACACAGACTGGCCTTGAAATTCCTTGGAGCTATTGTGAATAATGCCACAATAAACATATGTGTGCATGTGTCTTTATAGCAGCATGATTTATAAGTTTTAGGGTACATGTGCACAATGTGCAGGTTAGTTACATATGTATACATATGTAACTAACCTGCACATTGTGCACATGTACCCTAAAACTTAAAGTATAATAATAATAAATAAATAAATAAATAAATAAATAAATAAATAAATAAATGAAATTCCTTGGAGCAGGATTTCTCCACTTTTGTGCTATTGACATTTGGGGTCAGATAAGTCTCTGGGGTGGAGGTTGTCCCACGCATTGTAGGATATTTACATGGCCTGTTCTCTACTCACTAGATGCCAATAGCAATACCCCTGCCCTCAGTTGAGGATTTGAGGATAACTAGGATGTCTCCAGACATTGCTAAATATGCCCTGAAGGTGGAGACAGAATCACTCCATTGAGGATTACTGATTAAGGTTATAGAAGTTTATCAAAATGTACATTCACAAAAGGCTTTCTATACCCAGTTAGGTAGAAAATGCCAAGTGTTCACTTAGCAGCCTCTCGGGCACCTGGGACGTTGGAAGGGATAAGAAGAGGCTGGCAGGAAAGGGTGAGCATGGACCCAGTCTGGCCAATGGGACATCAGGGCAAGGCCCCGGGGAGTTTCCAGGCAGTCCACTCCGGCATGAGACACACCCTCTAGAGATCACCACCGCACCCTTCTGTTTCTAAGCATACCTGTGTGAGAACACAGTGCCTGAATTGGTGACCTCCACCTTGCAGCCCAAGGCAGCAAGCCTGAGATCAGAAGAAAAGTGCTGAGGACAGTAGGTAGAAGGAAAGAAAGAGCCACATCCTCCCTTTGTCCTTTTAACCTAGAAGTGGAAACAGCCTCCTCTTACTGCTGAAACTCAGGGAGCCTCAATGCCTAGAGTGGTCATAGCACCTGTGTACAGCCCATTTACTACATTGCTGTCTTCTAAATACAAAAGGAGTTTGGGTGTCCTGGTAAGACACTGACTAATATAATAACCATCCAGTATTTTATTTGTTTTGCATTTAATTCTGTAGGTGGGTAATCTGCAAATCTTTTTCATATTTTAAAGAATCCTAGTAGTGGGTTGATTCAGAACAGTGTTACCTCAGTGAATTAATGTGTACACTGTACCCTTCCAAATAAAAAGCATTGTGTAAAGGCAAAAAGGTCGTTCAACTACTGATCTTTTTGGTTCTTGATTTACAAGAAATAGATGCATATAAAATACTTATAACCAAGTGTGAATATGGATTATCTTCCTCTGAGAACAGGGGTCTTTCTGAAAGAAGCAGGGAAATTAGCTAACACTTACTGACCGAGGACAACCTTCCGTAGTTTATGCGATTTGGAAGCAGCTAAAACAGTTGATACAAAAGATAACACAAAACAAGCAAAAACATCAAAACCAAACAACACTTATCATTCTGTGACTAGTTTCTTCAAATCCTTTCAGAGCTAATTTTCAAGGTGAACTAAGAGATATACCACAACAAACCAGCACCCAGCGTGGCCAGCTTCTTCAGACCGTAATTAAGGCCACCAGCTATTTTAGGTACTAACAAGACACTTTCCTCGTTCCTCGTTAGCCTGATTTTGTTGGAGGAGATTTTGATAGCCACAGAGGCCATAGAAGTTTAAATGGGTGAATTGCATGGTATATGGCTTACATCTTAATAAACCTGGTTCTTAAAAAGCTTAGTACTTTTCATCGCATCTATATCTTCAACCTTGGCACAAGTCAGCTTCATCTCTGACCCAGGCTGCTGCAAAATCTCCCACAGTGGTCTCCCTGTGGAGACAAAAGTCTCCTTTTGCCCCAACTCTACCCCATCATCCTATCTCCAGGCAGCAGTCTAGTGATGCTGTTAAAATATAAGTCCTATAATGTTACTCTCTATTCAAAATCTTTGATGTAGTCATCTCATTCACAAAAAACTGAAAGTCCTTATTGAACGTATAAAGTCTTGGCAATCTGAGTACCCTTGCCTGCCCTGCCCACTGTCTGTTCACGATCATCTGCTAACCTTCCCTGGCTCACTCTGCTCCAGCGGCTCTGCCCCTCTTGCTGTTCCTGCAGCACCAAGCAGGATTTTGCTTCACGTCTTTGCACTGGCACAGCCCCTGCCAGGACCACTCCTCCCTCATGACACTGTCTTAATCTGTGTTGCTGCAAAGGAATACCTGAGGCTGGATCATTTGTGAAGAAGAAAGGTTTATTTGGCTCACAGTTTTGCAGGCTGTATGAGAAGCATGGCGCCAGCATCTGCTTCTGTGAGAGCCTCAGGCTGCTTCTACTTCTGGTGGAAGGTAAGGGGAGCCAATGTATGCAGATCACATGGCAAGAGAGAGAAGCAAGAGAGAGAGAAGGAGGTGCCAGGGACTTTTCAACAAGCTCCTACAAGAACTAAAAGTGTGAACCCACTTACTCCTGCAAGAATGACACCAGGCCATTCATAAGGGATCTGTCCCCAGGATCCCAACACTTCCCACCAGGCTCTACTTCCAACACTGCGAATCAAATTTCAACAAACAAACCATAGTGGATACCCACCCCCCATTGCTGCCTCCTCTCCTTCAGGTCTTCATTCATGTGGCCCCTCCTAAGTGAGGTTTTGATTGACAGCTTCTCCTAAAACCCACTCATCCAGGCTGGCACTCCTTACCCTCTCTCCTTGCTTTATTTTTTTCCCAGAGAACTTAGCAACATCTAACACACTAAATATTTAACTTATTTTTATTTTGTGCCTCCCCACTGTGAGGAAACTTTTTTGATGTCAGGGATTTTGCTTGTTTGCTGCTGTTTCTCCAAGAGTAATTGGCACATAGTAGCAACTCCACATACATACCGTGAGCGAATAAACAAACAAATGGATGAATGAATGAATGAATGAAGAATGAATGAATGAATGGCTTGGCTGTGAGCAACAGCACAAAGTCACTTCCACATGTGATTCCTTCTTCTTCCTGGCAGCCCTAATTTCCAGTTCTTTCCTATGAACTTCTTCTGCCTACTTTTGTGCCCATGACTTGATCCTCTTGTTTATCAGTCACTGTCCCACATTTCCCACTTGCATTTAGGATCTTTGTAGCCAAGTTTATCTCTACCGATCCCACTGCCCTCTTAACAGAAACAGAGATTTCCTTTGTCCAAGAGAATTGTACAACAGCAAAGCCAGGCTACATTGGAACCTCAAGAGGCCAAGCTTGAGGTTTGGCTGCTGCATTTAATTGGTATCATGCATCTGATGCAAAAGTCTTCTCCTGGGCATTTATTAAGCACTCACAGAGTGCTGAGCACCAACATACGGGAAAGATGCAAAACCCAGTCATCCTTGAGTCAACTTACTCTAGTGTGTAAGGTTTGGTCTACAATGAGATCTGAAAGTCTATTGAGACTCTTTAACTTCTTGGAGACAAAGGTTGGATCTGATTTATTGGGGGAACCCTTCACAGTATTCTCAGGCAATTAATGCCCAATAAATATTTGTTAATATCAAAACCAGGAGCAACCCATTTAAGATTACTATATTTTAAAAAAGCATCACAGCCAAGATAAAATGACTTAGAATTAATGTCCACCGGCAAGGAGGGCCATGAAATGGTAATGTTTCAAAAGCAGTTCTTGTTACAACTGACTCAGCACTGAAAAGGAGAGTGAAGATGACCTTTTCATGGGGTACCACAAGTGACAAGGGTCACCGACTTTGTCCAGGAAAATTAGAGCCTATAGCACTTTAGAAGCACTAGTAATTATCAGTGATTATTTAAATGCCACTAGAGCAAAGAAGGAAATTAAATGTCCATCTGAAAGAAAATGTATACACATGCACACACACCTAGAAACGTATATACAAACATACATACTTATGCTTTCTGTTCAGAAGAAAAAACACAAGTGAGATATTCAAAAACTGTAGTTCAAAGTACATGTCCTGAACATCCTCTAAGTGCAAAGACACTGGGCTATAAAGACAAGTTTAAATACTGCCTCCAGCCCCAGAAAGCTTGAGAATTTATTGAGGGAATTATGATTACCTCCAAGTGGAATGGCATACTGAATCCCATTTCAGACTCAATTAAATTCAAATGCTTGTAATTCTGGGGTCCCTGTAAGACTTTTCAACTGGGCAGAAATTCAATAGAAAGGATTTCCTGGCTCTTGTAAATATGAAATGTGTAAACATCCTTAAGTGGGGAGCTCTCCTTCAGAAGAAATGAAACACTCTGTCTCCAGCCAATGAAAATTCTTTGGTTATAGCTCCTACTTGGTTCATTTTGTTAATTACAAAAGCTCTTTCTTCTAGGACAGGGTTTCTCAGTTTGGGCACTAGTCACATTTTAGACCAGATGATTATTTTTTGTAAGGGCAGCTGTCTTATGCATTGTAAGATGCTTAGCAGCTTTCCTGGCCTCTACTCACAACATACCAGCAATGCCCCAGTGGGACAACCAAAAATGTTTTCAGACATTTGCCCGTGTTCCTTTGGGGACAAAATGCCCTCAGTTCGAGTCCACTGGTCTAGGATAATTACTCTAAAGTAATTAGATCTAACCATACAGTAGAAATAATTATGCAGATGTAACTTCTCTAACTTCTCTTTCATGCATCATATCCATTCAAGCAATCCTGAAATATTATGTGTGCAATTGTGCCCCATTCCCACCTGCAATAATTTGATTAGAAACAATTAATTTGCTCTGGGTAATTATGAGTGAGATGCATGTAGGAAGTGATGGCAAATTATGATTAAAAAGTGGTAGGTTTCTCTTTTGCCCCTTAAGACTTGCTCATGGGTCCAGTTATGAGATAAAAAAAAAAAGAAAAAAGGAAAAAAAAACCCTCATGATAAGGAGCAACTCAAGGTAAGGAAAGACCTCCATGCTTATTACTTGAGGAGTTCTTTCTCTGGGTTCCAGGAGGGGTGAAGCCAGTTCATACAGTGTTGGGGACACATCAACAGGGCTAGTAAAGATGGAGAGCACCATCTTTAGAGCATTTCCAGGCATAATCAGGATTCCAGGACCTGGTGTCTGGAGGATGAAAACAACTCATGGGCCCCGGAACAAAAGGTGATGTCCCTTCTGATGACTGAGCTGGCCTGACTCTACCCACACTGCACTCATGAGGGGCCAGGGGGTGTCTGATGGCAACTGGGGAGATGGATTTTTGCCATCATGAACATGCTCCCACCTTCCTGCCCCTTGCTGCCACAGGGGAGGGTCAGGAGTGCCCTGGGAGCAAACACAGCCTGCTTTGCTGTCAGTCCAATATTTCAACAAAGAGTCAATTTCTACTCCAGCTCTGAACATTCAAGGTCAGAGCCCTTGGAGCCAGTGACCGAAAACCCCGTTGAATCCCAGAGCAAAAACACGTCCTCTCTCTGATCTAGGTTGACTGGTTCTCCTTAATGAGGGTGATTAGAGTGTGGAGAACACACTCTTTGAATACAGAATCAGGATATGTGTTCTATTAGGTGCCACCTCATTAAGGAAACAAAAGCATTTGAAGTTAGGAGGGTCTCAGAATGTCCAGGCCCTGCACCTGTGAGGAAACAACACAATAAAGACACACAATGAGCCATGCCAGTCCGCATATGCATGCACCGTGGGCAGACACACACCAGTGCTCAATCCTGAGCCACTGCTGCATACCAGGCTCCGTTCTCAGCACTGGGTGTGCAGCAGTGAGCCAGGCGAGAGTGACATGGGAATATTGTGTGAAGCCAAGGTTTGGAGGATGGTACTTTTTTTTAATCCACCACTCTCCCTCCACCCTCTAGTAGTCCACAGTGTCTGTTCTCATCTTTATGTCCATGTGTGCTCAATATTTAGCTCTCAGCCGGGAGCAGTGGCTCACGCCTGTAACCCCAACCCTTTGGGAGGCCGAGGCAGGCAGGTTGCTTGAGGCCAGGAGTTCAAGACCAGCCTAGCCAACATGGTGAAACCCTGTCTCTACTAATATTACAAAAAAATTGCCGGCCGTGGTGTTGCACACCTGTGATCCCAGCTGTTTGGGAGGCTGAAGCATGAGAATTGCTTGAACCTGGGAGGCAGAGGTTGCAGTGAGCTGAGATTGTGCCACTGCATTCCAGCCTGGGCAACAAAGCAATAGACTGCCTGAAAAAAAAAAAAAAATATATATATATATAGCTCCCACTTGTAATTGAGCACATGTGATATTTGGTTTTCTGTTCCTTCCTTAATTTGCTTAGAATTATGGCCTCCAGCTCCACCCATGTTGCTGCAAAAGATCTGATCCTATTCTTTTTGATGGCTGTGTAGTATTCTGTGCTATATATGTACCACATTTTCTTTATCCAATCTACCATCGATGAGCACCTGGGTTGATTCCACGTCCCTGCTATTATGAATAGTGCAGCGATGAACACACAAGTGCATGTGTCTTTTTGGTAGAATGGTTTATTTTTTACAGCACAAACCCCTCGAGGACCAGTGGAACTCAAAACAGTGGCTGCTTCTGCTTACAGTCCCCCCTTATAGTCACTGAGGTTGTAAGCTTGTTTGACACCTCAGCATAAACTAGTGTGTTTGGAATGTTGCAGAGATAATGCTAAGATAAAGGAAAAGAGGGATAGTGTGAAATGAGAGGATTCTGTAGAGATGGGTGTAAAGGAGAGCTTCTCAGAGGGTGTAAAATTTGAGATGTGACCTCAGGGTTTGAAAAAATGGAAACAGGCTGGCCATGGTGGCTCATGCCTGTAATCCCAGCACTTTGGGAGGCTGAGGAAGGTGGATCACTCGAGGCCAGAAGTTCAAGCCAGCCTGGCCAACATGGTGAAACCTCATCTCTACAAAAATGCAAAAATTAGCCGGATGAGCCGGTGCACACCTGTAATCCCAGCTACTTGGGAGGCTGAGGCACAAGAATTGCTTGAACCCAGGAGGCAGAGGTTGCAGTGAGCTGAGATCATGCCACTGCACTCCAGCCTGGGCAACACAGCGAGACTCTGTCTGAAAAGAAAAAAAAAAAAAGAAAGAAAACAAAAAGGGAACACAAGAGCAAAACCCTCAGGTAGCAATAGCTTCTCACGTCCAAGCATTCTCCACACACAGGCACACATGCAATCACACCAATACACATGCACATTCATACACAAAGACACAGATGGAGAGAGACAAGCAAGACGTGGGGATGATGAAGGGCTGCTCTGTGGCCCCCATGCACACGCATCCAGGAGATCCACACCATCAGTCGTACAGGTCCTTTTAGTAAAACATCTCCCAATCCAAACAGTGGCTGCATTTTCCACAGAGCAGTATGAACTCTGGTTCTTTTCTGGCTGTGGAGACTTAACACCATCTTATTGACCATTAGCATATATTAAAAGCAAGATACACTTCAAGCACTTAAGTAGCTACAGAACTGAGCAGTGCAGGCTTTCCCAGTCAGGTGTGGTTTACTACTCTGACCACGGTTCTGAGACTTAGTGCTTTAAATTGCATCCACCTGAGTATCTTCCAAGTACCTGGACCACATACCTTTTTCATTTACATGTCAAAATTACCCTCTGAGGGAGCTTTATGACTGTCAAATGACACATGAGGAAATAGGCTTGGAAAAGTTAAGTGAGTTGCCCAAGTTATCACAATTAATAAGAAATTGAACCAGGATTCAAGGTAATTCTGACTTCAAAACTTTGTTACTTCTACTTTTCGACGTTGCCTCTGTGCTAGAACCATAATCAGTTTGAGGCTTGCTTTTCTGACCCTGCCGAGAAACTAGAGATTCTGCATACCTGTAGATGATTAGCTAGTCAATTTATCTCACCCTTCAAAAGGAGGGTGGTTAACACACAGTGGACATAACCTCCATCCATACACAGTAACTTACAGGGCTACGTGATTTGCTTTCTTTCCCTCTGATGGAACCATCCTCAGGTCTTCAGACTCCTAACGATCAAGAGTAGATGAAAACTGTTGCATCTTTGCTTTAAAATTTCAAAAGTACCATTGTCCTCTTTTGGGCATAGTGATACTCAGGTATCACTTTTGGACAGAGTGATACTTCAGGCATCACCAAACTAATCTATGTTTCCTGGGTTCAAACTAAAAGGAAGAAAAAATTAATAAATCTCCCTAAGGCAACCCAGAATACCCTGGCCTTAAATTCCATCCCAGACCATTCTGTTCATCTGTTCAATTGACCTGAGTCACAGAGTCATCATTAAAGACATTTTCCTAGTCGAGAAGCTGAGGTGGGAGGATTGCTTGAGCCCAGGAGTTCAAGGCTGCAGTGAGCTAAATGAGCTATGATTGTGCCACTGCACTCCAGCTTGGGAGACAGAGCAAGACCCCCATCTCTAAATAAATAAAGACATTTCCGAACTGCAGGATGAGGTAAGTTTGACTTCCCATCTCTTTGGGTAGCCAGCCATTCTGCTCCCATCTCACTCTTTTTCTGTTGTTGGTTCTCATGAGGGTGGACAAATAAAAATAAAACATATAGGAGCTAAATGACCTAATTCAAGCCTTGATAGATTTATTTGCCTTTACTCATACAGACTATAAAGAATCTTAACCCAAAGTAGCCAGAAAAGGAAGAGGTACATGTGAAAGCCTCCATATATTAACAATATAGTTTGGGGAGCTTAAAGCAAATGGCAGCATTCACCTTTCCAGGACCTTGGCCAACAAGCCTGTGGTGCTCTAACATCTTCTCAGCAAGAACAGCAAGAATGGACTCCAGGCATCGGGACTGCACCTCCAAGTCCAGTAGCTCCTCCAAGCCTTGATCTTCAGCAATGATGAGCCGCCTCCCAGGACTCCTCTCTGTCCTAAGGAAATTAAGTCTTACCAACTAGAATCCATCTCAACTCATCTGAACCCTGACTGGTGCCCTCTGAGCTCCCCCACCCCAAGATAAGCCAGGGTGGTTTTTTACTTACAGGATAAAAAGACATTGCATGCAGATGGCCTAATCTCAGTCACTTCTCTGTTGAAAAGTCAGGCCATTTATTTCTAATACATGCTGAGAACCACATTCAAAATGTGATTAAACACCACCAGCCAAGAATGGCCATTATGCTTAACAGACTTATGAGGAGAGTTGCAAACTACACATAGAGTAAATGGGATGTTTTAAATTACACTAGATGGTCTATCTTCATTTTTTTTTAGTGCAATGGTTTGTTACATGCAGACCTAATAATGCTAAATAGTGAAATGCCAAGTCTCAGCTCTTAATAGCCTCATTTAAATTAAATTTATATTTATTGTCCTCCTAATTATTTTCCCAGCCATCTGACCAGGACACTTTCCTATGCCATGGCGAAAAGGCTGTCTCCCTACCACGGGGTTAATTAAAATACATTGCTTCTTGAGAATTCAAAATGATGTGGTAGAGAACTTGGCAACAGACTTTCCACTAAAGCCTTTTATTTTCTTTCAAAGATCACATTTTAGAAATTGCTTAAAAATTGCAAATGAGTCATTTAGACCATAGACCATATTTTTAATTGCAAGCACAACCTCCAATGGACAGCATCATTGAGATACTTTCCTTCCAAGGCATCTGTCCAGAGTCATATAAAATATCACCCCTGTAATCTTCCCACAGAACTCTCAAGAGTCTCTCTGGTTAGACCCATTCATATTCAGCAAACAGTCCCTGAGCACCCAGAGACAAAGGCTTTCAGCCTGGATCCAGGCACTAGGAGTGAATCTACTCTACACTTGAAGTATATATATGTATTGTGAAACTGTGGCACTAGGCACATCAGTTACTGCAGGGTGCATGTGTTGGTTGCCACATACTTCTAATGACAGCTCTGCTCTCAGTCCACATGGTATGGGTGGGGCTGACCCCCCTCTCCAGGTACAGAAGAGAGCCTATGGCTTCTACTCAGCCGACCAGAGCATTGCATCTGCCTAGGCAGAGATGGGCATGGGACCCCATGGTGGAAAAGCTTCATGTGCAGGATGTTAAAAGAATCTTTTAGGAATTGTAGAAGAGCCCATGCCTCTTCTAGGATTTAAAGCTATAGGGTTGAGAGCCTGGAATTCTAGAAGTTGGTCCATGAATGGGGTATGCTTGAAAATAAACCCAACCCAGAAGGAGGCAGAGTCAAGAGACGGCGGAAGAGTTGGCTTAGATGTCAACATTTAAGACCCTGGATCTGGTTATGCTCGGTTTTTGTCTGTTTATTTGTTTTAATATAGACTTTATTTTTTAGGACAGCTTTAGGTCCACAGCAAAATTGAGAAGATACAGAGATTTCCCATATACATCTTATGCTCCCCAATTCACTCCGCCTCCCTACTGTTGACAAGCCATGCCATAGCGGTGCACTTGTTGCAGTCAATGAACACACATGGTCACATTATCATCACCCAAAGCTCATGGTTTATATTCAGGTTCTTTCACATTGTTCATCCTACAGGTTTTGTCAAATGTACCAGGACATGTGGACCATACAGAATAGTTTCACTGACCCCTGGCAACCAGTGATTTTCTTCCTGTCTCCATAGCTTTGCCTTTTGCAGAATGTCCTAGAGTTGGAATCATACCGTATGCAGCCTTTTCAGACTTGCTTCTTTCACTTAGCAATATGCACTGAAGGAACCTCCATGTTCTTTTCATGACTTTATAACTCATTTATTTTTAGCACTCAGTAATATTCCATTGTCTGGATAGGTCACAGTTTAGTTATCATTCATTCATCAAAGGGCATCTTGGTTGCATCCAAGTTTTGTCAATTATGAATAAAGCTGCTGTCAACATCCATGTGCAGGTTGTGCTGTGGGCATACATTTTCACCTCCTTTGGGTGCCTGGACATTTTAGCCTGTGACCTATCATTATCTTTATTTATAAGCCACTAAGAGTCAGGTTTTCTATCATTTGTAATCACAGGAGTACTGACATGCACAGTTACATTCCAGGTTAATGCAATTGAGCCAGAAAGTGTCTGTGTGGCCTCAGATAAGACACTAACCCTCATTCAGCCTCAGTTTTATTATCTTTAAGAAGGGATAGGGATATTCTTACTCACCATATCACAGAATTGTTACAAAGACCAGGTAGAACAGCCTGCAATGTTCTTAGCAAGGTGCATCACGACAGGCTGTGAGTACTGGCGGCATTAAACACACCCCACACTTCTGCATAACTGAGCTCATCTCAGATTACACAGGGGCAGAGACTCCCTCCACTTCACAGCTCCAGGCATCATGTGAAGGATCGGGGCATTTCAACTGAGGCCTTTCATGCTACTTAATAATGCTTAATGATGACAAGACATCATCAGGAAACAGAGATCACCATACCAGGCCAGCTTCAAAAGAGGACTTAATCCAGAATCATTTGGCCCAGTGCCTCCCCCCCCAGTTTCAGAATCATCTGAATCACCCTCAGTGGGTGGAGGCACTGGGGCAGATGATTCGGAGTTAAGTCCTCTTTTGTTAAAAGATAATAGAGCCAGGCATGGTGGCTCACACCTGTAATCCCAGCACTTTGGGAGACCGAGGCATGCGGATCACTTGGGGTCAGGAGTTCAAGACCAGCCTGGCCAACATTGTGAAACCCTGACTCTACTGAAAATACAAAAATTGGCTGGGTGTGATGGCAGGCGCCTGTAATCCCAGCTACTCCGGAGGCTGAGACAGGAGAATCGCTTGAACCTGGGAGGCTTAGGTTTCAGTGAGCTGATATCGCACCACTGCATTCAAGCTTGGGCAACAGAGCAAGACTCCGTCTCAAATAAATAAATAAAAGATAATAGATATGCCCCCATTCCCTTCAAAAGAGCAAATATTTTTGGAGTGTCTGCATGTGTTAGCCAATATTATAGACACTGTAAATACAGAAGTAAGTAAAACAGGGGAAAAAAATTAAAACCTACTATTTCAAACTTATATTCTAGTCAGAAACAGGGGATAAATAATAAACAATAAAAATAAATAAACATTGCTTTGCTTATTTCAATAGTTTTTGGGGTACAGGTGTTTTTTGGTCACATAGCTAAGTTTTGTAGTGGTGATTTCCGATATTTTAGTGCAGCCATCACCTGAGAGTGTACATTGTACCCAATACATAGTCTTTTATCCCTCACCTCCCTCCCAGCCTTCCCTCATGAGTCCCCAAAGTCCATTTTATCATTCTTATGCCTCTGTGTCCTCATAGCTTAGCTCCCATTTATAAGTGAGAACATATGATGTTTGGTTTTCCATTCTTGAGTTACTTCACTTAGAATAATGGCCCCCAGCTCCATCCAAGTTGCTGCAAAAGACATTATTATATTTCTGTTTTGTGGCTAAGTAGTATTCCATGGTGTAGACATACCACATTTTCTTTATCCACTCGTTGGTTGATGGGCACTTAGGTTGGTTCCACATCTTTGCAATTGCGAATTTGCTGCTGTAAACATGCGCATGCAAGTGTCTTTTTCTTATTTATTTATTTATTTATTTATTTATTTATTTATTTATTTATTTTTCTGACATGGAGTCTCGCTCTGTCACCCAGGCTGGAGTGCAGTGGCACGATCTCGGCTCACTGCAAGCTCTACCTCCTGGGTTCGCGCCATTCTCCTGCCTCAGCCTCCCGAGTAGCTGGGACTACAGGCACCCGCCAACACGCCCGGCTAATTTTTATTTTTTATTTTTTTAGTAGAGACGGGGTTTCACCGTGTTAGCCAGGATGGTCTCGATCTTCTGACTTCAGATAATCTGCCCGCCTCAGCCTCCCAAAGTGCTGGGATTACAAGCGTGAGCCACCAGGCCCGGCCATAAGTGTCTTTTTCATATAATGACTTCTTTTCCTTTGGGTAGATACCCAGCAGTGGGATTGCTGGAATGAATGGCACAGAAAATAAGCAAAACTTGGAAAGGAAAATAGGAAGTGTTGGGGTAGGGGGTGCCTAGGGCATGGTGTGGCCTCACCTAGGAGGTAACTCCCGAGTCAGTGTGAGGGAGAGAGTCATGCAGATATCAGAGGAAGAGCATCCCAGGCACAGGGAGTGGAAGTACAAAGGCCCTGAGGTATGTGGCTGGAATACGTAAGAAAAAGCAAGTAGGTCCGGATGTCTGTGGTGGAGTTGGCTTCACCAAGTGGGGCGGTGGTAACTGATGCGATCAGAGATAATGAGGAATGAAGGGTAAGGACAGATAAGCCTTTTAGGACTTTGAGAACCATTCATGAAATTTACATATTTTAGGGAAGATGAACAAGAAGAAAATACACATATGTTCAAACATCTAGTTTTAGATCATGGTAAATACATGGAAGCAATAAAGCAAAATAAATGGATATACTAGACCAGGGTTCAATTCAGATTCACATATTGCATTTGGTTGTCCTGTCTCCTTAGTTTCTTAGTTTTGTAGGGCTTTGTTTTACAGGACTCCTTACTTTTATAGGACTTTGGATCTTTCTCTGAGTGAGAAGAGAGGCATTAGAGAATTTAACAGAATCACTCTGGTTGGTATATTGTCCGTAGACTGTTGGGGGTAAAGGCAGAAATAAACCAGTGATGAGGATACGGCAGGGGTCCAGGTTAGAGATTGTGGGCACTTGGACCAGGAGTAGCAGTGGAGGGGAAGCGGTAATTGGATCTTGGATTAGCACTGGCAGGATTTATTGATGGAGTGAATATGGAAGGAGAGAGAATTCTAGGATGACCCCAAGGTCTTCATCTGTGCCACCAAAGTGACGAAGAGAGATATGTCTGAAGGTACTTTCAGATCCACTACCTTCAGAAAAATTCTACCAGAATTTAAGATTTAAGATTCAGTTCTGATAGGTCACGTTGAAAAAGACCTCTTTTTTCTCCATCACTGGAACCACAGTACATAGTCGGGCATACATTGGGTGATCAGATCAGCATCATTTGTGCAACTTAATTTTTTTCAAATATTACAAAATTCAAGATTGCAAGAGGACAAACTAAAGCCTCTTGCAGCATATGTAAATATGACTTAGATTTTGGCTGTTTTTCCTACGACCCCAGCCAAGGTGGGCACCGTGAAGGAAGTTCTCAGAATAATTACTACTGGAGTAAGTCTAGTCATGCCAATGCCGTCTTCATTTACTAAACGGATGAGCCCAAACGGGAGAATGTGCAGGGCTAGGACACCAGAGAAGGAAAATCAATGCCTTTTATGCCTATACCATATATAGGTTTCCAGACCCAACGGAGAGCTATACTCTTGAAAATATCCACAACTCTCAAAGTCCAGAAACTCTATTCTTCTGAGTTATGCTGCTCAAACTCTACATTACTGCTGCAGCAGGAGGATCACTTGAACCCAGGAGTTCCAGGCTCCAGTGAGCTACGATCACACCACCGCACTCTAGCCTGGGCAACAAAGTGAAACTCTGTTTCTAAAACGTCTTTTTACACGTGGATTATCTGCTGCTGAGGGTGAGGAGAGTTGGGGATTCACTGAATTCCAGAGTTTGCAAGACAGAAAGTACTGGAATGTAGAAAATGTGTTCAAAGACACAATGACCCAGGGTCCAATCCAGAAGCTCTCACCAGCTCTGAAGTAAGCCACTGGCCTTCCTGATGCCAGGAATTCAGTAAGTGTTTTACTGAATGAGTGGACCCACAGCTAATCAAGGGAGCAAGCTTGCTTCTGACACTGCCTGGTACTAGCAAAGATATTGTACATTGCGATCTTGCAACTGATCCAAAGGCAGCATTAAGAATACAGCACTGGCTGGGCGTGGTGGCTCATACGGGTGCATCATCTGAGGTCAGGAGTTTGAGACCATCCTGGCCAACATGGCGAAACCCTGTCTCTACTAAAAGTACAAAAATTAGCCAGGTGTGGTGGTGTGTGCCTGTGATCCCAGTTACTAGGGAGGCTGAGGCATGAGAATCACTTGAACCCGGGAGGCAGAGGTTGCAGTGAGCTGAGATGGTGCCACTGCATTCCAGCCTGAGCAACAGAGCAAGACTCTGCCAAAAAAAAAAAAAAAGAAGAAGAAGAGAAGAAGAAGAAGAATACAGCACCGGGCCACCTGCGATGCTCATTTTAGAGAATCATAGTTTAGCTTTCCTCCTGACCTAAGTGCCAGCACCATTGACAACATGCATGAAGGATATAACCTCAGTCAGTAGCTGCAGAAAAGAAAGAGAGCATGAGCCATTTTTGACTCCAAGTATCATCATTTCTCACCTGCACATCGCCCAAATCTCCTAAATGGCCTCCCTGATCTGACCATCTCCCTTCTCCCAGCTACTCTCCACCTAACAGCCAGGGGAAAATGCAAATATGATCACCACACAAGAAATCCTCCACTGGCTTCCCATTGTTCTTTTGCTTTTTCAGCTTTACTGAGAGATAATTTCAT
Organism: Homo sapiens; assembly: GCF_000001405.40. Classification (NCBI taxonomy): domain Eukaryota; kingdom Metazoa; phylum Chordata; class Mammalia; order Primates; family Hominidae; genus Homo; species Homo sapiens. The sequence continues at coordinate 21,177 of NW_003315940.1, read as the reverse complement.
AAAAGTTGTATATATTTAAGGTGTACAACTTGATCATTTGTTATACATAGATACTGTAAAACTGTGATTATCACAGTTAAGCTAATTAATACACCCATCGCCTCACAAAAGTAGCATTTTTATGTGTGGTGAAAACACTTAAGGTCCAACTTCTTAGCAAATTTCAAGTAGACAAGATAGAATTGTTAACTGTAGTCATCATACTGTGTATTCTATGTCTGGAATGTATTTATCTTGCATGACTGAAACTCTGTGATCCTTGACCAACATTTTCCCATTTCCTCCACTCTCCAGCTCCAGGCAATCACCATTTTATGCTCTATTTCCATGGGTTTGACTATTTTTGATTCCACATAGAAGGGAAATCACTTAGTATTTGTCTTTCCCTGTCTGGCTTATTCATTTAGTATAACATCTACATTCATCTATATTGTCACAAATTTCAGGATTTCCTTCTGTACTAAGGCTGAAAAATGTTATACTGTCTGTATATATAAGATTTTCTTAACAGTCATCTATCAACAGACATGTAGGTTGTCTAGGCAGTTGTGAATAACACTGAAATGAACATAGAATGAAGATATCTCTTTAACATACTGATTTCCATCCTTTGAATATATACCCAGAATTGGGATTGCTGAATCATTGCATAGTTCTATTTTAATTTTTTGAGGAAACTACATAATGTTTTCCATAATGGTGGTACCAATTTACATTTCACCAACAGTGTGCAAGACTACCCTGTTCTCCACATCCTTGCCAACATCTGTTATCCTTTGTCTTTTTGATAATAGCCATCCTAACAGGTGTAAGGCCATATCTCACTGCAGTTTTGATTTGCATTTTCCTAATAATTAGTGATGTTGAGCACCTTCTCATATATGTTCTGGTCATTTTTACATCTTCTTTTAAGAAATGTCTGTTAAGGGCCTTTGCTTATTTCCCTTGAGATATAATCCAAGTGCCTGAATCTATCCTACAACTACAGCACGAGTAGCTCCTTCTTATGGCCCCAGCCTCAAATCCACCACTCTTTGTGCACCACAAACCTCCAGCCACACACATCCGATTTCAGGTCCTCCAACCCCCACTCCTTCCAGCCACTGAGCCTTTGCACAGGCAGTTCCCTTTGACCTGACCACACCAAATCTCCCTATTGCAGGTTCTTAGAGCAATGCGTACCTCCTTTTCATTTTTGTGATGATATGGATAATGTGTGCAGCTCTCACTACTTGCTTTTTGAAGCACAATTTTACCATATGTACTGTTGTATTGTTAATGTCTGTCTCTGTGCCTGGTACTCAGATGGCAATCAACTACTAGTTGAATGAAAGAATGGGTGAATAATAAATATCATATCCCAGGTACATTATAGGCATTATCCCTAATCTTTATGATAAAAGCCTGCAGTAGGTTGTCTAAATTTTCTGATTTTATAGAAGAAAATGAGGCTCACAGAAATTAATTAAATTAACCAGGATTTAACAGGTGTTAAGGTTCCATGAATGTCAATTAGGCCTAGGTGATTTATAATGTTTTATAGGTTTTATATATCCTAGTTAATTTTCAGCCCACTCATTCCATAAATTACTGACAAAGGAGTACTGATGTCTTCAAGTGTAGTTGTGGACTTGTATATTTCCTCTTTCAATTCTATTCATTTTTCTTCATGTATTTTGTAGCTCTGCTAATAGATGCACACATTTATTTCTGTTATATCTCCTTGGTGAAATGACCATTTTATCCTAATGTACTGACCTTCTATAATCCTGATAATTTTCCTTGTTCTAAAGTCTACTCTTTCTGATATTAATTTAACTCATCTTTCCTTTGCTCTGTACTTGCAAGGTATATTTTCTGCTAGCCTTTTACTTTTAGCCTATCTATGTCATTATTATAAATGGGTTTCTTATAGATCATGTATAATTGGTTCTTTCATGAATTCATCTTATGATCTCTATCTTTTGGTTGGTGAGTTAAGATCATTTAGATTTTATGTAAGTGTTGATAAGATTACATTCAGGTTTACCATTTTATTATGTGTTTTGTTTGCCCCTTCTTGTGTTTGTTTTATAATAAAAACTACTTAAGAAAATCAACAAAAAATGTTATTACTCAAGTGTCAGGAAAGGTGGAAGCTGACTAATCTATGTTGGCTTTGACTGGACCACTCTGCCTCATTTGTCTTTTATACTCCTCCTGGGACATTAGACCATTCTTTCCTTGTTCTTCTCACAGAGCAGGCAGAAGCTCAAAAAGCAAGTGAAAACACACAAGGCTTCCTAAAGCCCAGGCTTTGATTGGGCAAAGCAACACTATCACTTCATTCTGTTGGGCAATGCAAGGAGCAAAATGAACCAAAATTCAAGGGGCCTGCATACATACCTCCGCTTTAGGGGAAGGAAATAGTAAGTCAAGTGATAAAGGAACCAACATATCAGTCTACCGCAGTTCTGTAACCAGATAACCAGACATAGTTAGATGGACCAGATACTAGGTTGATGTCCAATAACACCTACAACAGACATAGAGAGGAAAGTTTGATTATAAACAGTAAGTTATATTGTGGGCCACAATGATCAATTAACAAATGGTCTTTTTTATTAACTAAAGTCACCAAAGATAGCATATTCCATCCAATAGTTTTATACTAAGAGGAAAGACAGAAGGTATGCTACTTATACCTTTCTTGGTAAAGGTAAGAATTACTATTTTTTTCTTCCATACCAGGAAGTTAGATGTAAATGTCTCTAGACCTGTGTTATTTCATGTGTTAGCTTCAATATCCATATGGCCATCTAAATTGAAATTAATTTTAAAAATAAAAATTTAGTTAATTGATTGCACCAGCCACGTTTCAGTGGCTTGGTTGTCACAAGTGACTATTGGCTACCATATTGGATAGCATGCGTATAGAACATTTACATCGTTGCACAAGGTTCTGTTGGACAGTACCCCTCTGGAGCATTACAGTATCATAGGAGGCTTTCATGAAGCCTCTTTTGATGTTACCACTGTACAACCTACAGGGATAAAAGTGGTCACAGAATTCAGTGCTGGTTTTTAAGTTGACAAGTCAGCATCAGTTGCTCATGTAATACTGTCATCTACTCTGCATCCTGTAGTTACACCAAAATGTATTTTGGTTAATATTTGGGGAGAGAAAATGATAACAAAAAGTGTAAAAAATAAGGAAAAATATGATGTATAGTGTAAAAGAATGAGAAAATGACTTTTTCAAACAATAATGAAATAATTTAATACAGAAAGCTGACTACAAGTTGGAACATCTATTCCCAGGAACCACTGTCATTTAAAACTTGACTTTCTCATGCAGATAACTCTGTAGAAACAAATCTGAAAATGTATGCTAACTCTATGTATCATGTTGAGACTCGATCAAAATGGAAAGAAATAATTTGTGTAGGATACCTTAAAACTAATCTTCCTCATCACACACATTTTTACTGGTGGAAGGATGAGAATTTATGGAATATTGAGGGTATTTGAGAAGAGGATGCCTAGGTACTTATAATCAGACCCAGGAAATTTTAATCTGATTTAATACCAGCTCTATTAGAACCAAGCTCTCACCTATTTCATGCAAATGATAATTTATGTCTTAATGGCCCAAACACTTTACCTCCCACTGTGTTTTCAATCAAACTTAAATTTATATCCCTCTTTTTTAGAATACTATATATTTTACTTGCACTTAGAGATGGCTGAATGAATTATAAAAAGTTTCAAACTCAAAAGCAATCCTAGCCTAATTTTTAAAGTTTGTCAAAAAAAAAAAACTGAGCCAAGCAGACAGAAAAGTGATACAATTATTCTGATTTATGGTCTATATTTTCTCTGTCTCACTTAACCACTCTTATCCCTTACAAAAGGGAATTCAGCAGAATTATGTAGCCAAGAGAGATAACACTTTCTTCAGCTTCTTTTTATTTCTCAGTAAAATATCATCATGTTCTGAATGTTGGTGTCCCCCACCCCAAATTCATATATTGAAACCTAACCCTCAATGCAACAGTATTAAAAAGTGGGGCTTTTAGGAGATGATTAGGTCATGAAGGCAGAGTCCTTGTGAATGGAATTAGTGCTCTGGTAAATGAGGCCCCAGGGAGCTCATTAGTCCCTTCCACCATGTAAAGACACAGCCAGAAGCCACATCTCGGCTTTTGTTTTCTTCTTTGGTCTTTTGATGGAGGGTATGTAAAGACAGTCCGTTGTTCTTATTTTTTCATAGATCCTTTGTAAATAAAAATAATGTCCTTAACATTATGATTGCATTGCGTTTGGCATTTTATGAAACTGACAAACTGTTTTTACAAAGTAAAATACCATTTTACATTCCCGCCAGCAGGGTTTGAGAGTTGGAGTGCCTCCACATAACTGGCTAACACTTGGGAAGGTCAATTTTCATTCTAGGTACTCTAATAGATGTGTAGTGGTATCTCACTGTGGATTTAATTTTCTTAATTTCTCATTTTCTTAATATCTCATGATGTTAAACCATGTGCTTAATTTACCATCTGTACATCTTCTTTAGTACAACACTTTCTTAAATAACTTGCTCACATTTAAGGGGTTGTTTGTTTTCTTATTAAGTTTTGAGGGTTCTTTATATATTCTGAATACAAGTCATTTATTAAATATGTGATTTTTCAATTATTTTTCACAGTCTGAGACTTGTCTTTTTTCCCCTTAGTTTTAGCAGTCTTTGCTATTAGAAAGCACTCTTGCAGATGAAAGATGGGAAAAGGTGAATTTTCAAACTGCATCAAGGGTATTTTGTCAGTAATGGGTTTTGGAGTAAAGTTAAAATTAATAATAGCTCTTGCTTTATTTAGTTAGTGTATTTATTTCTGGAATATTTGACACTGGCTATAATTTAAAATGGGAAGCCATTTACATGCAGTTTTTGATGAAGCTGGAATGACAATTAAATTAAAAAACAATATTCTTTTAAAAAAATAATACTAGAACAATGTAATAGCCATACGCAAAAAATAAACTTTGATCCACATTTCATGCCATATGCAAAGATTAACTCCAAATGGATCCCAAATATAAATGTGAAATCTAAAACTATTGAATTTCTTGAAAAAAAAGTGAGAAAAACTTTTGCATCCTTGAGTTAGTCTAAGTTTTCTTAGGTAAAATACAGAGTACGTTTGATTTAAAAAAAAAAAAAAGAAAAAAAAACCTTGGGGAAGTGTTACTCACCTGGATTATGATGTAAATGTGCCCTCTACAGTTGTGCAGTATGCAACCAGCACATCTGTATTTGATGGCCCTGCATCTGTGCCTTTGTTAGGATGAAAATAAGCAACTATTCTAAAGCCTTTATGCTGAGTTGGAGACATAATTCAACTTTGGCTCACCAGTATAAAAAGGGCCTTAAAAGTAAGTACAGTTTAGGACCGCATCTGCTTGCATGGAAATGGCGCTGGTCTAAGAATTCTGAGACTTTCAATCTTTTTCCCTTTTTGCCACTATCTTGGGAAGATTGAGCAACTTGCTTCCATTCTCTGAACCTCAGTTTTACCATCTACAAAAATGAGGAGAATGGACTAGATGTACTCTAAGGGCCCTCTGAGACCAGCTTTTCCTTGGGGGCAGAAGAAGAGTGGAAGCTCTGAAGTGAGGCCTGGGTGGATCCACCAGTACTGTCATGACCTGCGGAGGGGCTGCTGCCATGCCCAGGTAGGACTCCCCCACAGGAGGTGGGTACCAGTCCTGACTGTTATACATGTACGAAGTACACAATGAGAGGTGGAGGATGTTTCCTGGAGTCACTAAGCTAATAACGCATAGGGTTGTGTTTTCAATCCAAGAATTTAAATTCCGAAGCAGATGATCATGACCCCTATGATGCTGCTTCCTCCAGCTCCATAACCTGATGCTCAGATAGTTCAGCCTCCCAAAACCAATCTCTGTCTCCCTGCCTCAGAAACCACCATGTTCTATAAACTTGGAATCCCCTTTCTGCATTGCACACTGGCCAGCGCCCCAGGCAGAAAGCTGGAACAATTGCAAGACTCACCACAGGCATTTCTCTTTTTACAGGAGTCACAGAATTCTTCTGCCTAATGTCCAATGTCTGAAAACATTACAATATATATATAATCATATAAATATATTATTAATATATGAAAATGAAGAAATATTTTATTTATATATGTATACAATGATGCATCATTTAATGATGGGGATACATTGTGAGAAATCTGTCATTAGGAGATTTTGTCATTGTGTGAACATTGTAGAGTATACTGACACAAACCTAGACCCTAGACGGACTAGCCTACTACACACCCAGGCTATATGGAATAGTCTGTCACTCCTAGGCTACAAGTCTGTGCAGCATGTTACTGTACGGAACACTGAGGGCGACTGCAACATAATGGTAAGTATTTGTGTAGCTAAACATAGAAAAGGTACAGTAATAATATGTTATAAAAGAAAAAATGATACACATGTGGGGGGCACTAACCATGAATGAAGCTTATAGGACTGGAAGTTGCCCTGGGTGTCAGTGAGTGAGGGGTGAGTGAATGTGAGGCCCAGGACATTACCATATACTACTATGGACTTTGCAAACACTGTCCACCTAGGCAACATTAAGTTTATTTATTTTGCCTTCAGTGATAAGTTAACCATAACTTACTACACAATGATTTACTTTATAAACGCTTACTTTTTAAAGACATTTAGACTCTTTTTAATAAAACTTAGCTTAAAACACATATTGTACAGCTGTACAAAAGTATTTTCTTTCTTTGTATCCTTATTCTATAAGCATTTTTATTTAATTTTATTAGTTTTTAAACTTTCTATTGAAAACTAAGACACAAACACGCATATTAGCCTAGGCTACATTTTCCTTACAGATGTTCCATTTGAAAGGGTTTCCAAAATTCAAAAGAACCAGGGAAGGGGAGAGAAGAAATGACAAAGAACTTTCTGTCACCCTCAGATATTTTGATATCATTCAACCTCACCTCCAAGTAGAGAAAATGACCAAAATATTTAACATTGGCAGAGCCACACTGACATTTACTAGCTACAAATGGCAGCATTTTCTTTCCAATCTGACCTGCAAGAAAAACATTCAGGTTGACAACTGACTGGAGTAAGAAGAGAGCTTTCACTTCAATTATATCTTCAATTATATCTATGTTGGACAAGAATTTGTGTTTCTCCCTTAATTTATTCTTCATGAGATGGAGCATTTAGGGAAATTAACTGTAACCATAAGGGAAGGCTGACTTACAAAAGCAAAAATAAAAAAAAAAAAATCTCAGAGGAAAATATGTACTTAAAAGTTGCCAAAGGATACAAATTATGTTGTTTTTCTGTCATATGAACAATTAGTACAGTCAGAGAAGGAGCTAATCCCAAAAATAAGACCTACATTCATAGCTCATTTTCAAAATGACATTAACTAGGATCTCGTATTTACAACATCTCTGCTCTTTCTTGCTTCCAAACTTTAATAAAAACTAAAGATGCACTGAAGATACAGCTCATAAAGAACTTTGGTACGGTAGTTTCTGTCCAGAGAATAGAGGAGAAAACAAAGATATTTGCATTTCAGATCCATTGATACAATACAATGCACAGGAGTCTAACTCTGCCATGGGGTATCCACAGTTCTAACCAACAAATGGGGATTTTTAGCTTGTGCGTGCCTTCTGGAAATTGTCATTGAAAGATAAAATAAATTGTATTTTAATGTTGGGGACCTACAAAGCCATCTCCATCTTGGCTGCTAACTACTGTTGGAAAATGTTTCCCAGAGCAAATCTGGCTTCACCAACTGCACAGAAAATCTTATGGGAAACATGGATGAAAACTCACAGCTGCAGTGCGTGGTAAATGATACTGAATTGTTGATACCATCACACCAACACACGATTCCCAAATAGACATAAAAGAGAGTAATGTACCTTTTACTTCTGTACAAATTCCTCACTTTCCAGACAGCTATTTCATCAAACATTGTAGTTAGAGGACTTCTACTAAAAATTGGCATGGGCATGGAATGAAAGCAAAAAGTTTATCATTTTGAAGGGAAAATACAGTGGAGAGAAAAACAGGGACAGGTGTACTAGTAAGACTCTATTTCCAACTCATGTGACCTTGTACAATCATCATGTGTCTCTGCGGTTTCATATGTAAAGTTCCTGCCACACTCTGGTTGGCAGAATAAAGGACCCCCAAAGTGGTCCCCACCATAGTCCCCAGAACCTGTGAGTATGTTAGGTTACATGGCAGAGGAGAACCAAGGTTGCCAATAAAATTAACATTCCTAATCAGCTGACATTGAGATGGGAGATTATTGTGGATAATCTTGGTGAACCCAGTGCAACACAAGGGTCCTTAAAAATGGAAAAAGGAGGCAGAAGAGGAGGTTAAAGTGATACAATGTAAGAAGGACCTGAGCCACCGTGGCTGGCTTTGAAGATGGAGGAAGGCGCTACAAGTTAAAGAATGTAAGCAGCCTCTAGAAGGTGAAAAGATATGGGAAATGGACTCCCTGAAGAGCCTCCAAAGGGAAGAGAGCCCTGCCAACACCCTGAGTTTAGTCCAGTGGAACCCATACTGAATTTCTGTCCTATAGACCATACAATAATAAATTTGTGTTGTTTTAAGTCACTAAGTTAGTGGTAATGTGTTACAGCAGAATAGGAAACTAACACACTCATATACACAAATCAAAAGAATTTCTGTATCACAAAAAACCATATACATGAAAGTGCTCTGAAGAGTAGAAAGTATTGAGCAAGCAAGATTTTCTTAATATTGCTGCAAATCAATATACACTAGTGACTGACACATAAAGCAATACATAAATATCTTTTGACTTGATGTAGAATGAGGGTGAGGTAACTCTCACCAACTATGAACAATTATAAATGATTTGAATTTGTCAGCATTCCTAGAGTTTCAAGTGACAGAATTCCAAATTAGAGGGTTTAAAAAAACACACACACAAAAAGGAAAAGCCTCGGCTCATGTATTAAAATCTTCCAGAACAAGTATATCTGGATCTAAAGTAAAATAAATTTTAAAATGTCATTTTATCTCTACTTCTTTGTTAGTGTCTTCATCTTAAAAAGACTCTTTTCCCATGGTGACTCTCAGCAGCTCCAAACCCGTAACATTTTTTTCCCCAGCAATTTCAAAGCAAAGAAAATGTCTTTGACCCCAAATTCCATTAAGGTATCCAAGCTTGATCTAATCTATGTGTCCAGGGGATTAACAAAGCTGAGTGTGCAGGCCTGAGTCCTAGGGCCACACCACCTTGGGACCATGGAGTCCATCAATCCCACCTTAATAAGCAAAGGGCTGTGGTGGGAAGTGGGGATGTGCAACTGGTTCCTCAGGAGGAAGTGGTGAGGTTACTCTCTTTTTTTTTTTTTTTTTTTTAATTTATAAAGAAAGGAGCTTTAATTGGCTCATGGTTCTGCAGGCTGTACAGGAAGCATAGTGGCTTCTGCCTCTGAGGAGGCCTCAGGAAGCTTCCAATCATGGTAGAAGGCAGAGTTGGAGTGAGGAGCTTCACGTGGCCAGAGCAGGAGGAAGAAAGAGAGTGGGGAGGTGCTACACACTTTTATTTTACTCTCAGTTTCTTAAGAGAGACACAGATAGCAGGAAAAAGCATTGTTCTCACTTTACGGTGATGGAAAGCTAGACCAAACACCATGTTGTCAACTTTTCTCAAACCCGTCAGAGAGCTAAGTTCACAAAGCAAACAACAGGACCTCAAATCTAAGGAGAAGCAGGTAACATAAGGATAGACAAAGTGTGAACCTGGACTTAAACGGGGCAGATGGCCATGGATACTAGTAAGGGGAGGTTGGCTGGGTTGACTGGCAAATGGTGAAGGCCAAGAGCACATTGGTGAGATAGTGTGAAGTCACCGACCACCACAGAAATCCAGAGTCTGAACTGCCTTCAGGGTTTTTCTCCAAAAACTCTAACAGGCACTCACAGAAAACATTAGAGAGAGTTCTAAGGAAGTCTCATTTAACAGGGCTGAGGACGTGTATTGAGATCACTTGTAAAAGTAACAAATATGTAAACAAAAGCATAGAGAATTATAGGAAATTATTGGGAATATATTGTTATAAGGAATTTATCTTACACGTGAAAGGTATAATATTATTTGGAAGTACACTCTGGTAATTCTAGATGTATATTATAAGACTTAGGGAAATCATTAAAATATTTAAAGAGGTTAAATAATAAATCAATAAAAGAGACAAAATGAAATCATAAAAATTTTCTCTGTGAGCCAAAAAAATGAATGAAAACAAACCTAACAAGATGGTATATTTTAATCAAATAATGCATATAATCACATTAAATGTGCATGGCCTAAACATACCAGTTAAAAGGCAAAGGTTGTCAAATTGGGTTTACAAAGTACCTAATTATATATTGTTTAAAATAAAGCCATTAAAAAATAAAGACATAGATAGGTTAAAAGTAACTTGTACGTGGTGGGGAAAAGATATGTAATGGAAACATTAACCAAAAGAAAGTTGGAGTAGATGTATTAATATTAACATCAGGCAATGTAACTATATTGCAGGGGATAAAAAAGCATTACATAGTGACAAAGGAGTCAATAATCCAAGAAATGACCGTTCTGAATGTGTGTGATCTTAAAAATGCATGAAACAAAAACTAGTAAGAACAAAAAAAAAATTGACAAATCCAAATCCAAAATAATAACTTGATATTTTAGTGCTCCTCTCTCAATAATTAATAGAACAAATATACAGACAGTAAGTAAGGACAAAGGAAATCTGAACAAAACTATAAACTAGCAATGACCTAATTGACATTTATAGAACACCTCATCTAACAAATAATATATACACATTCTGATCAAGAACTCATGGGGCATCCACCAAGCTGGACCATTTGTTCTGAGCCACAGAAATAATCTTAGCAAGTTTAAGATAATATAAGTAAGAATACTAACTATGTACATGGATTATAACAGAATTAAACTAGAAATAGATCTGAAAACCCACTAAATATTTGGAAATTAAACATCTCACTTCTAAGTAACTTATGGGCCAAATTTGATAGAAGGCTTTTAAAATATTTTTTAACTGAATCTAAATGAAAAAAAGGCTTTAAAAATATTTTTAACTGAATCTAAATGAAAATGCTTTTGGAAAAAAAATCAAAACGTATAGGATTCAGCTAAATCAGAGTTTAAAGGAAATTTGTGGCATTAAATGCTTGTATTATATTTTTAACTATCTAAGCTTCCACCTTAGAAAATGGGAACTAGAAAAGCAAATTAAGCCCAGAAGATAAATCAAAGAGAAATGATATTCAATAATATTGAAAAAATAGATAAAAACCAATGAATCAAATCTGATTCTTGAACAGAGATTTTTCATTTCATGAGTGAATACATTTCCTTTTCTGATCAAAAACCTCTAATTTGTATTACTGTCACTTGCAACTGAATAAATCTAAAAAACTTAAAATTGTTTATAATTGTTTAAGGTTGCAAAGTATGTTCTCTTTTCTACAGGCAAGAAGGAATGGAAGGAGAGAGGGAATGTGGGAGAAAGGGAGAGAGAGAGGTAAAAATATGTATTGATGAACTCATAGCTGGATAGACCCAGAAAAAAAGAAAAAGAATACACAAGCTACCAGAATTGGCAATGAAAGAGGAGACATCATTAGCAATATTACAAACATTAAAGGGATAATAAGAGATACTAAAAACAATTTTATGTCCATAAATTCAATAACTTCAATGAAATAAACTAATTATTTTGAGAAACACAAACTATCAAAATATATTGAAGAAGAAACAGATAACCTGAATTCATACATACCTGCAAACACACATACATGTGTGTGTGCATTTGTGTATAAAATTAAATTTGTGGTTAAAAACCTTCCAACAAAGAAAACTTCAGGGCCAGATAGTTTCATTGACATATTTTGCCAGACATTTCAGAGGTAAACATGGCTTATTCTAGATAATATATTTCAGAAAATAGAAGGGAAGAGTTTTCAATTCTTTTTATTAAGCCAGAACATGGATTAAAACCCCAAGGCTAGGCCGGGCATGGTGGCTCACGCCAGTAATCCCAGCACTTTGGGAGGCTGAGGCGAGTGGATCACCTGAGGTCAGGAGTTCAAGATCAGCCTGACCAAGATGACAAAACTCCATCTCTACTAAAAACAGAAAATTAACCGAGCATGGTGGCGCATGCCTGTAATCCCAGCTACTCAGGAGGCTGAGGCAGGAGAATCACTTGAACCCGGGAGGCGGAGGTTGCAGTGAGCTGAGATCATGCCATTGCACTCCAACCTAGGCCACAAGAATGAAACTCCATCTCAAAACAAAACAAAACCCCAAGGCTATCAGTAACATCAACTTTTAGTGCCTCAGTTTTATCGTCTGTAAAATGAGACTAATAATTACTACCTACCTCATTGGAGTGCCATGCAGACCAAAATACTGTTTAGCAGTAGGCACGGTGTTCAGCACATGCTGGGTCCTGAATGCTTGCATGCCTCTGGATCTCCCAAAAACACAGTGGGAGGAAAGAATAAAAAAAAAAAAACACAAAATACAGGAACCAGGCTTCCAAATATTCACAGTCATGTACTTCGACTTAACAAAATGATTAAATTAGATAGTTTTTAAACCAAAAGGTTAATTTGAAAATTTATTTTCAAGGAAAGTTCCCTGTGGCTTACTTATAATATAATGGGGGAGTATGAGAAAAAGTTAATAGCTTTGTAATTATACCAATTTTCCATTGTAAAAATATTATTCTCATTTATTAGTCTGTCAAGGGATTATCAAGCTAGTTGCTTTATGCCCTTAATTCACAGATCACAAATAGTGTGAATGTGTTGGATGGTTTTAACTCAAATTTCCCTTTTTTATATTGAAACAATTAAACACATTTACTTTTATGGAAGTTGATAATAAACACATTTATCAGAAATTTGACTTTATTAAGCTTAAATAGTCAGTGGTTTTCCTGAATAGTCGAAGGAAGATTGCACAGCTTCCACCTCATATCTGCACATCTGGTTTTACCTCTTCAGCAACACACACGATAAGAACAAGAAACAACAACAAAGATATCCAAATTTATGGTCAGGTTGTCTTTAATTCAGCAAATTAATGTTTTACAATAGTAAGAATGTTGACTAATCACACGACGAGCAAATCTCATAACATCCTTCATTCCTATTTCAGGTCACCTGCTCCTTTCTTTTCTCTCATGTTTCCAACCATCATTGACTGAAATGTTGTTATGCAATGCATGACTAATTATATCTCACTAAACCCAAATTAAATAGTTATCTGACTTAGCTTCCCCTTGGTCAGTTTCCCTAAATTATCACAGCCACTTCAGGACCACTCAGCATGAGGTCAAATGTGACAGAGGAGAAAGTGGAAGTGGAAAGAAACAGAGATCTCAAACAGCTGACATTAAATTGTCTTACTTTTGCTAATTGTACGAAAACGTAACCATGTGTACGTGTTGTTGGGGCCATTCCCAGTGCATTTCTGCGTAGAAGGTATTTGAGGGGAGGCATGAATAATAACTATAAACCAGACATACAAAGTTCTGAATATAGAGCATGGATATAATAATGTTATCATAGTATCATGTATGACGAAGGTTGATCATATGCCCACTTTTTTGTATGAAGGAAAAAGGCACATAGTAGACCCTCAGGCAATAGGAACTAAAAATAAAAATATGTGTGAATATGTAAATAAATAAATGAATCAATTAACCAACCAACCAACAACGTACCCAAGGTTAGAAGGCTGAGCACTTTGTTGCTTGATAGATTAGATTGGGTTAGATAGATGCTCAACCAAGAGAAGGAATAGCCCTTTTTAATGTGTACACGCATGTTCCACACATTCTTCTGACGTCTTCCAAAGACCAGGAGGGCACTGGCCTGGATGCATCAATGGGGTGAGCCACTTGTTGCCCTGGTGGTGCCTGCACAGTTTCATGGAACACGGACTAGCAAGCAGAAGGAGCGCCTCAATGGGCAACAAGGTCTGAAACGATGGAGACGAGATTCTATGTTCTGGCATATTTCATATTCAGGCCTGACTAAAGCTATTAAGTAAATTATATCCTTTAAATTCCATCCATTTTCTTGGTCATTACTGGTCATTAAGAGGAAGGCAAGAAACAAGGATCTACAAGAAGATTCCTTTGGTTGGAAGGATTTTCTTGTTTTACTATTGTCAACCAGCTGGTTGCACTAAGTAACAGAGGGGTGGGACTTTGTCAGATAAGGTGCAGTTAATCAAGGAGGAAGCGTTTAGGAGGAAAGCTCATCCTAGATTAAGACAAGAAAATAAAACCCATGAGAATTGGATAACCTATGATGTGACTGACCTTCTGGGAGAAACAATACATAACTTTGAAATTTCTCATGTCGAAATCACTGAATTTTATTGCTAGACGACACTTTGTGAGAACAATAGGCTCCCACCCCAGGGTTCTGTCTTAGTCATTCCCTCTGCCTGGAATGCTCTTCCCAAATTTCTGAAGCTGACTCTTTCTTATTATTCAAATTTCTGCTAATAGGTCACCCTCCTTGAGAAGCTTTCCCTGGCCATCCTCCTTGTAGGAGGCATTCTTGAGGATTTCTTAATTAAATTACCCAATTTCCTTTACCTACAAAAAAAAATTATACTTAGCTTGGAATATTTTAGGCACACACTCAGTTACAAGCTTCTTGTCTGTCTCTGCTGCTAGAAGATAAGCCGCTGTTAATCAGGAGCTCTGTCTAGTCCTGTTTGCAGCTCTATTCCTAGTGCCTAGGAAAGAGCCTGGGACCCTTATGCAAATATTTGTTGAATCCACAAATGAACCTAGATATGTTTCCCTTGAGGAGACTGGGGCCCAGCAAAGCATTTGACCAGGGTCATGTAGATGACTTGTGGCAGAGCTCAGATACAAAATGGGGCACTCAACCATTTGCGTATTCAGGTTTGTAGGCTCTTGGTGAAAAATCCAATATTTGTATTCTTGATGCTTGGTAATAACTTGAATGCTGATGATGTGGAGATACACTGAGATGTCAAAAATGCAGTTTTTACACACTCTCAAGTCTTGCCACCTGGGAAGAAATTAACAGTGAGAATTTTCTGAAGCACTAACATTTCACCTCCACAAGAGAGTTTGGGAAATTTTCTGTCCCACAAATGACATTAGCAATTTAGAAAATGATTTAAAACAAAAGGGCATTTCACGATATTGCCAATAACACTTAGCAAATCTCATTAATGAGATACTCTGATGTGGAAATCACTACAATTCTATTTCACAGCAAAATACTGTAATTAAGCCATTGTGTGTCTGTGTTATTTAGCAAATGAATAATTACATGATGCCCTGGAGACTTTCTGCTACTTTGGAGCATCAGGCTAATGCCCTTGCAGTCGTGTCTGGAACTCACTTTAATGAGCAATATATTCTGAGCCATGCTCAGGGCAATTGACTGCTATATAAAAGGAGATAGTGGAACAACAGCCAAATTCAGTGTGCTGCAGGCCATAAAGCATCAACGATGACTGATATATCTGTACTAGGACATTGTGAAAAACAGAGAGTTCTTAATTCACCAATGGTAACTGAGTATCTTGTAAGGATGTACCAGGCTCTGTACTAGACACTAGAAATATGAGGTTGACACAGCTCCTGATACTCATAGACTCATTGTCTGTTTAAAGGTATTTACAAATAAATCATTCAATCAAATTAGAACAAAGATAATATCACCATCTGTACCATGTCTAGCTTCTGCTCTTCTTCCAATCCCAAATGTCTTTACCAAGGAGACATTTGACATTCTGGGTCTAGAATTCTGTCCAAGAAAGAGGTGGGTTGTGCCAGAGAAAGAATCATGTATTTAGTTTAATTTTAAAAATATATTTTCAGCAGGTCAACAAGACACTGGAAGAACAAACATGATAGAAAGTAGAATGTTATTGAGTATGTGTGCTCCTACAATCTCTGGTGGTTTGAGCCAAGATAGAGTTGATATTTTACCAAGTATAAAAGGAGGTCTGGCCCTATTTGAGCTGCAGTCAGCAATGTGTTACCCAAGCTTGAAGCACCATCCTTCCACTAATGCTGCTACATTACATGTTCATGTCGAAAGTAGTAATTAGGCAGAGATCCCTGTGAGGTCTAGCTAGCCTCACGTATGCCCTCAGTTGGCCCCCAGTGATCCCAGCCTTCTGGTAGACACACCCAAATATAAATCCTTCCATATTAGACCATAGTTCGTCTGTGATCAGTATCATACAGCACAAGTGGTTGTCTGTCACCTCTGAGATTACGTTATAAAAGACTGTGACTTCTGTCTTGGGGCTCTCTTATTCTCTCTATCTCCCTTAGGAAAAAATCTACATTGTGAGCAGCTTGATGGAGAGTCCCAGTGGTGAGAAACTGAGGCTTCCTCCGCCAGCTACATGAGTGAACAAGGAAATGGGTCCTGCAGCCGAAGTGGAGCCTTTGGATGACTGCTACCCTGAAAACATTTGAATGCAACGTTACGAGAGACCTTGAGCCAAACCATCCAGCTCATCCCCTGCTATATCCCACACCCACAGATAGTCTGAGATAATGAAGGTTTGCTATTTATATGTGTAAGTTTTAGAGTAAGATACTACACAGAATATAGAACCCATACATTGTCATTCTTCAAAAGGGAGTTATATAAAACATCCTGTGTCCAAACTTATTTGAACATGAGCCCGTTGGACACAGAACATTTCATGGACTAGTATTCCACAAAACCCACTGTGCTTCAAGCATTTAATAACTCTGAAAACTCAGCTATAATCGAGTAATAGCTTGTTCTCACTTGCCTCCAACTCTAAAGAAAAAGAGTCAACAAAATGGGTAAGTTTAAAAAGAAGAAGAAACAAAGAAGACAGCTTTGGTTGTCAAGTGAGAGTCCAAGTGACAAAATTCACATTGGTGACTTACTCATTACTACAGGGCCCTTAAATCTCAAGTGACGGGAACTATTTTACAGACACAGGCCCTTAAATCCCAACTGAAGGAATAAAGTCTGCAGTTTCCTCTTTCCTCCAGAGACTGAGAAGATACCCCGTAAAAATGTAGCTGCAGGTTGAAGCATGGGTCACCCTCTAGGAAGATTGTCCTGCCTGTGACATACCAACACCTAAAGATAGGGATGCTGAATTAAATCGTGTGCTCAGGGACTCTCTGGTTTCATAAAAGAAATTGCTTCTGTTTATGAGGATCATTTTGTACCCTTACCCTCAAGTTGAACTTCTCTTTCAGATTCCATAGCAAAATGGGCAAAAAGAAAGCAAAAAGAGCTTGGGAGCTTCTTAGTTTACTTTTCTGTGTTGGAGTGGCACTGACAGGTCATGGATGTTGCACCAGGACAATGCTTCTCAGCTGGCAATTCTTGGAACCCATGGTCCAGTTACTGGCCTGAAAGTTCTACTTTGTGCACAGCTAGAGACAAACTGAAAGGTTTAGATACATGAATGAATGTCATGGGATAGAAGTAAATGTCCTTCCAGGTACACAACAAACTGAGATGACTTTAAATTCCAGCTACAAGCTGCTGACTTCCAAAGTGACCTTTGCCTTGAACTCTGGACTTTTATATATCCAACTGCCTATTAACATGTCGGATTGGATGCCTGATCAACATCTCACACAAAAATCACCCAAAGTTGAACTCTTGATCTTCTCCCCTACACCAGTTACTCCCCATTCTCTTTTCTTTGAATGAAACCCAACTTCTTCAAGTCACTCTGATCAAAACTACAGAGTCATTGTTAAAGACCCCTCCCTCCACATCCCACACAGAGTTCATCAGCGGCCCCTCTCAGTTCTGTGTTCACCTGCATCTTCGACCTGACCATGCCTCCTTACCTGCACTACAGGCATGCCCATTCAGGGGGGCAAGGGTCTCCCTGATGCTGCCTACCCCTCCCACTTCTGTTCTTCACGCAACAGCCGAGTGCTTTTTACAAACAGAAACTGGACGTCAAATGGCTCAAAACCCTGCAGTAGCTTCCAATCCTACTCGGAATAAAATCCAAAGTACTTTCAAAGCCTACAAATTCATGCAAATTGCCGGCCTCAGCCACCTCCATGACCTAGCCCCCTCATTGCTCCTTCACTCACTCCACGCCAACCCTCAGCCCCAGCACAGAACCCTGGCCACACCAGGGCCAGCCGCTTCAGGGTGGCTGGGGAGACTCTCTCGTCCTACATCTCTCCACCGGTCCTCCCCCTACTCCCTTTGGGGCTCTGCTCTTCAGGGAAGCCCTCCCTGACCACTGTGTCTGAAGGAGAACCCCTGTACTTCTGTTTACTCTGTCCCTTTACCTACTTTATTTTTCTTATAATCTTTTAGCATTTATCACAACCTGACATAATTATAAATTTTTCAATAGTTACATTATTTTTTCAGGGATGCCATAGAAAGTATTACAAACTGGATGTCTTAAAACAACATGAAATTATTCTGTCACCATCCTAAAGGCCAGAAGTTGGAAATCAAGGTATTGGCAGGGTTGGTTCCAACTGGCAGCTGTGAAGTGGAATTTATCTCAAGCTTCTCTCCTCACGTCTGGTAATGACTGGTCATTCCTGGGGCACATAGGCTTGTAAATGCATCACTCCACTCTCTGCCTCCATCTTTAATGGCATTCTCTCTGCATGTCTGTGTCTCTCTGTGGTTGTCTTCTTATAAGGACACCAGTCAGATTAGATTAGGGGCCCATGTTACTCCACCTATTATTAATTTAACTAGTTAATGACCTCCTATTAATTTAACTAATTACACCTTCAATGACTCTACTTCCAAATAAGTTCATATTTCCAAATAAGGTCATAGAGATATATTAAGATTTTATCTGTACGGGGGGGATACAATTCAACCTTTAACAGTAGATGTTTATTTCCTCCCACCAATATATAAGCTCTGGAAGACCAATGAAGGACTCATTGGCTTTTTTATTAGCTGGCTTTCCAGACCCCAAAACAGCACTCAGGAGGTGGGTGGCACTTGATAAACACTTGCTGAACTGAAGTGCAAGATGCCTGATGCAGAGACAACCTTAAAGACCTGGCTGAAGCTCAGCTGGTTTCTGTGCTGCCCAGGCCTCCAAGCTACCAACCCGGCACCATCTTCCCTGTGAATCCTTGCACCTGTTCTTCCCTCTGCTTAGAAATTCTTCCCCAGGTCACTGCGTGGCTGGCTTGTCCTCATTCCTTTTATCTCAGAGCCAACAACACTTCCCCAAACAGGCCTTCTCTGTCCATCCAAACTCTTGTAGCCCTCACCCCAGCTTCCATCATATAACCTATTTTAAACTCTCTGCATACCACATCTGAGCTATAGTTATATGCTTATCAATGGCTAGAAATTTAAAACCACCAGCATACCAAAGGATCTGGCACACCTTGAAACAAACACTATAGCTATGATCGGACATGCAAATAGATACAGCAGAAGAAAACAGGAAGTCGACTGCCAACAAGATCATTCTCAATTATACATTAAGTACCCATTCATTCATTTATTTATTTAATAATTACTTAGGTGAATACCAGCTGCATCCAGACTTTGCTCCAGACAATGGCCTCTGTGTTCAAATAAACTGGTGCAGCCTCTGTCCTCCGGATACTCATCATTGCAGAAGGGATTAGCATGAGAAGTGAAGGTGAGATGATAGATAAGACAGAAAGATATCTTTGGTCAGGGAAGGCTGTGCAGCTCTCCTAACAACAACTGGAAGTTGCACAAATGGCTTTTGTTCACATGCAACTTGCAAAGTCCACAATCAACCTATGTGAGTGGCACAGTGTGTGTATCTATGAATGTGGCATAACAGGTTAGCCATGTAATTACATAAAATAAAATGAAACATTCTTTCCAAAAGACAGAATATTTCATCCTAAAGTGATGGTACTTGGTTAAGGCCAGCTAACTTAAATACTTTCTCTTCAAATCATGCAGAATTTCTTACATGAAATTATGGAAAAGGGAGAAAGACGGGGAGGTAGCACTCAAAGACTCAATCCTTTTCTTTTTCAAAGATGTACATTTTATCTGGGGCACATCTTTATGTCTTTTTTAAATGGCTTATTTTATCAGTGACTTGGTAGTAGATAATAGGCATAACAATAAAATAATTTAATAGAGAGGCAGGCTGTTGGGGGACAGTTAGGAAAAACAAATAGTGACATAAAAGTCTCATAGTCATTTCCATTAGCAACAACCATTAATGAGGAGCCTTGCAAATTTCCTTGGGTTAGTTTAATCAACTACCTTTCAAAAATTAGGTGTAAAGATTCGGGTTTGAAATCACTATGTGGGCAGATCTTTAGGCAGAAAGCCTCCAACTTCCTCTGACTCAAGGTCTATCTGCTCAGAGGAGCGAGATCCTCAGTTAGAAATAAGAATCTGCACTCAACAAGAAAAGCCATATCTGTATTCAAAGTGGACTCAGAGTTTGCAGGAGAAAACAGATCATCAATGTTTTTGATTAAACAAGTATCAGTGGCAACACATAAAATTGAATCTGGTATTTTGAATGATAAGGCTGGGTCCCCACAGCTCACACTGCATAGCTTAAACTGGGAAGCTTGGGAAATTGTCAGAAACCTACCCAAGGCCTGCGCTTTGGCAGAGTTTCTATTTGACACCATCCATTTCTGTTTGAAGAACTGAAGATGCTATGAAAAGAGTATCAAGCTTAAATAAATACTGAACGTTGAATATGTATCAAGTGCCTTCTTGATACATATTCAAGGCTCCAAGTACTGTTCTGGAACTACGAAGTCAGGTTCAAATCCAGCTTGGCCTCTCATAACTTTCATAAGTCCCAGCCTCACCATCTAATAGAGCTGATACTGCTATTGTCTTCACTGTGGCTTTGGTTTTGGTTTGTTTTTTTTTCTTTCTTTCTTCTTCTTTTTTTAGAGAACAAAAGGAAATGATATGTAGCAGCAGTTGGCAAACTATGGCCCATGGGCCAAATCCAGCATACTACCTGTTTTGATAAGTAAAGTTGGAACACAGCCATGCCTATTTGTTTACCTGGTTGTCTGTCTACTTTCACACCACACA